>NC_000004.12:157103199-157406229 GCF_000001405.40 Homo sapiens
ACAAAGGCACTCAAATGCTCAGCCTCTGTGAAACTGCCCAAAACCAGTCCATGGCCAGTGGTCTTCTTATCAGGAGAAAGTTGCTGAAATCAGTCTCTCGTCCAATCACAGCTGTAGTTATGGCTTGTGGAACAGGGGGTCAGTTAGTCAATGTCTGGTGGTGAGCTGCAGTTCTTTAATTGTGCTTACCTTGAGGCCAGTGCTTGTTTAGCTGCTAAAGAAAAGTTAAAATCTTATGGCAGTTAGAACATAGTTTATACTTCAAGCATAGTTCTACATTTCTTAACTCTTGCATTGTTCTTTCTCAAGATTGTTTGGCTGTTTGGGATACTCTGTGGTTTCACATTAATTCTAGAATTGTTTTGTAAAAATTTTCTATATGAATTTCCAATGGGATTTTGATAGAGATTGAATTGATCTGCTGATCCTTTTGGGTAGTATGGGCATTTAACAATATTAAGCCTTCCAACCCATGAACATGGGCTGTCTCTCCATTTGTTTGTGGCTTTAATTTCTTTCATTGGTGTTTTATAGTTTTCGGTGGACAAGTCTTTGATTACCTTAGTTAAGGTTATTCCTAAATATTTTATTATTTTTGATGGTATTACAAACGGAATTATTTTCCTAACTTCCTTTTCAGATATTCATTATTGGTATATAGAAAAGCAATTGATGTTTTTATGTTGTGTCCTGGAACTTTACTGAAATTTGTTTATCAGTTTTAACTGTGTGTGTGTGTTTGTGTGTGTGTGTGTGTGTGTGTAGTCTTTAGAGTTTCCTTTATATAGATTATGCCATTGGCATACAGAGACAATTCACTTCTTTATTTCTGACTTGGATGTCTTCCTTTTCTTTTTCTTATCTAATTACTCTGGGTGCTAGGTACCATGTTGAACAGAAGTGGCAAGAATGGGCATCCTTGTCTTATTCTTGATCTCAGTATAAAAGCTTTCAGTTTTCACTGTTGGGAATGATGTTCTCTGTGAGCTTTTCATATAGGACTTTTATAATGTGAAGTAATTTCCTTCTATTCCTAGTTGATTGGGCATTTTTTAATCATGAAAGGATGTTAAATGTTATCAAATGCCTTTTATACATCAATTAATATGATTATGTGATTTTTATCCTTCATTCTGTTGATTTGGGTGGTTTATGGCATTAATTGATTTCTGTATGTTGAACTATCCTTGTATCCTGGTTATATATCCCACTTGGTCATGGTGTATGATCCTTTTAATGTGCTATTGAATTGAGTTTGTTAGTATTTTGTTTAGGAGGTTTGCATCTTTGTTCATCAGGAATATTGGCCTGTAGTTTTCTTTTGATGTGTTTTTTTTTTCCTCTAGTTTTGGTATCAGAGCAATATTGGGCTCACAAAGACTTTGGAAGTGTTTCTTTCTCTTTAATTTTCTGGAAGATTTTGAGAAGGACTGGCTTTTATTCTTTAAATATTTGATTGAATTTGCCAGTGAAACCATCTGGTCCTAGGCTTTTCTTTGTTGGGAGGTTTTGATTACTGATTCAATCCCTTTACTAGTTAGAAGTCTGTTCAGCTTTTCTGTTTCTTTATGATTCAGTCTTAGTGGATTGTATGTGCCAAGGATTTTATTCATTTCTTCTAGATTATCCAGTTTGTTGGTATGTAATTTTTCAGAGTAGTCTCTTACAATCGTTTGTGTTTCTGTGGCATCAGTTGTAATGCCCCTTCTTTCATTTTGATTTTGATTTCTTCTTTTGATTTTATTTAGTTGCATCTTCTTTCTTCTTTGTTATTCTAGCTGTAAATTTTGTTAACATTTATGAATTTTATTTAAAAATTTTTTAAATTACTATTATTTCTTTTCCTGTTCTAGTCTTTATTATATTCTACCTTCTGCTAACTTTGGGCTTTTTTTTTCTTTTTCTAGTTATTTGAGGTATTAATATAAAGTTAGGCTATATATTTGAGTTATATCTTCTTGTCTAACATAGACATTTATATTATAAGCTTCCCTCTTAGTACTTCTTTTTTTGCATCCCATGTTTTAGTATGTTGTGTTTTTTTGTCTCAATGTATTTTCTAATTTTAATATTTTTCATTAGCCCACTGGTTGTTCAAAATGTGTTAATTTCAACATGTGTCAACTTTTCAGCTTTCCTTTTGATGCTGATTTCCAGTTTCATTCCATTGTGTTTGAAAAAGATACTTTATGTAATTTCAATCTTCTTAAACTATGTAAGACTTGTTTTGGAACCTAACATGTGATCTATCTGGCAGAATGTTCCATGTCTTCTTGAGAAAAATGTAGTTCTTCTGCTGTTGGATGAAATGTTCTGTATTTTTTTTTATATTTGGTTTATAATATTGTTAAAGTTCACTGTTTCTTTGTTGACTTTCTGTCTGATTGTTCTGTCCATTACTGAAAGTAGGGTATTGAAGTCTCCTGCTATTATTGTATTGCAGCCTATTACTCTTATCAGTTCTATCAATGTTTCCTTATAAATTTCTGTGGCCCTATGTTGGATGCACGCACACTTATTATTGTTACATCTTCCTGGTGGATTTACCCTTTTATCATTATGTAATGTTTTTCTTTGTCTTCTATGATAATAATTGACTTAAAGTCTATTTTATCTAGGTATAGTCATCCCATGCTCTAATTTGGTTAACATTTGTATCTTTTTTCATCTCTTTGCTTTCAGCCTATGTGTATCCTTAAATCGAAAGTAGATCTCTTTTTTAAAAAAATTATATCAAAATTAAAATAATTTAACCATCACCATTATAGTAATATGATATTCTTTATTAGACTATATATAACTTTACCAAGTTTTACATTTTAGCATCCTTTCATTTTAAGTTGAAGAACTCCCTTTAGCATTTCTTATAAGGCATGTCTAGTGGTGATGAATTTCCTCAGCTATTGTTTGTTTTGGGAAAGTTGTTCCTTCATTTTTGATGGACGAGTTTGCCATGTAGAGTACTCTTGGGTGAGTTTCTTTTCTTTTTTCTTTCTTTCAGCTCTTTGAATGTATTATCCCACTGCCTTTTGGGATGTATGATATTTTTTGCAGAAAAATCCACTGATAGTCTTATGGAGGTTCACATGTACTTGACAAGTGGCTTTTAGCCTGATGCTTTCTCAATTCTCTCTGTTTTTGCTCTTGACAATGTCATTAGAATGTGCATGTTGATGAGATGTCAACTTGACTACAACAAGGAATATCTTGAGAGCTCGTAAAGCATTACCTTTGTGTGTGTCTGTAAGGGTGTTTTCAGAGTAGATGGGCATGCAAGTTGGTGTACTGAGTAGGGAAGATCTGCCTTCTATGTGGGTGAACACTACCCAATTGGATGGGGGCCTGAATATAATAAAACAGCAGAAGATAGGTGAATTCTTTCTCTCTCTCTCTTTTTTTTTCCTGGAGCTAGGACAACCTTTTCTCTTTCCCTTGGACATCAGAACTTGAGGCTCCCTGGTATTTGGAACCTGGCACTCAGCCCTCTAGGTTCTCAGGCTTTCAATATCAAACTAAGAATTACACCATCACCTTCCCTAGTTCTGAGACTTTTGGACTTGGACTGAACCATGCTACTGGCATTGCAGGGTGTCCAACTTGCCGATAGCCTATCCTAAGACTTCTCAGCCTCTTTAATTGAGTCAGCCAATACCACTATTAAATCTCATCTTCTATATACTGCCTTTTTAAAAAACACCAATTAAAGGTTTGCGGCAACCTGCTTTGAGCTAGTGTGTTGGCATCATTTTTCCAACAGCTTGTGTTCCCCGTGTGTCTCTGTGTCATGTTTTGGTAATTCTCACAATATTTCAATCTTATGATTATTATTGTATCTGTTAGAGTGATTTGTGATCAATGAACTTTGGTGTTACTGTTGTAATTGTTTTGGGGTGCCACAAATCATGCCCACATAAGAGTGCAAATTTACTAAATGTGGTGTGTGAACAACTGGGAGTCTGTCTTTTCATCTCCCTCCCTCTCCTCAAGCCTTCTTATGCTCTGAGATACAACAACATTGAAATTAGGCCAATTAATATCTCTACAATTGTCTCTAAGTTTTCAGGTGAAAAGAAGGGCTGCATGTCTCTCACTTTAAACCAAAAGTTAGAAATGATTAAGCTTAATGAGGAAGGTATGTCAAAAGCCAAAACAGGCTGAAAGCTAGGTCTCTTTGTCAAACGGCCAGGTTGTGAATGCTAAGAAAAAGTTCTAGAAGGAAATTAAAAGTGCCATTCTCATAGCACATGAATGATAAGGAAGTGAAACAGTCTTATTGCTGAGCTGGAGAAAGGTTAAGTGGTCTAGATAGAAGACCAAATGACCTATGACATTCCCTTAAGCCAAAGTCTAATCCTAAGCAAGGCCCTAACTCTTCTTAATTCTATGAAGGCTAAGAGAAGTAAGGAAGCTGCAGAAGAAAATTTGGAAGCTAGCAGAGGTTGGTTCATGAGGTTGAAGGAAAGAAGCCATTTGCATAACACAAACGTGTGAGGTGGCACAGCAAGTATTGATGTTGAAGCCACAGCAAGTTATCCAGAAGATCTAGCTAAGATCTTTGATGAAGGTGAATATACGAAACAACAGATGTTCAATGTAGATTAAACAGCCTTATATTGGAAGAAGACACCATTATTCATAGCTAGAAAGAAGTCAATGCCCAGTCAAAGAACAGGCTAACACTCTTGTTAAGGGCTAATGCAACTGGTGACTTGAAGTTGAAGTCAATGCCCATTTACCATTTCAAAAATCCTAGGGCCCTTAAGAATTATGCAAAATCTACTCTCTTTGTGCTCTGGAAATGGAACAACAAAGACTGGGTAACAGCACATTTGTTTACAACATGATTTACTGAAGACTTTAAACCCACTATTGAGACCTACCACTCAGGAAAAAAGACTCATTTTCAAACATTACTGCTCATTGACAATGCACCTGGTCACCCAAGAGCTCTGACGGAGATGTATTATACAAGGAGTTGTTTTCATGCCTGCTAATACAGCATCCATTCTTCAGACCATGAATCAAGGAGCCATTTTGACATTCACGTTTTATTATCTAAGAAATACATTTACTAAGGCTATATCTATCATAGATAGTAATTCCCCTGATGGATCTGGGCCAAATACATTGAAAACCTTCTGGAAAGGATTCACTCTTCTAGATACCATTAAGAACATTTGTTATTTATGAAAGGAAGTCAAAATATCAACATTGACAGGAGTTTGGAAGAAGTTGATTATAACTTTTTTGGATGACTTTGAGTAGTTCAAAACTTCAGTGGAGGAATTAACTGCAGAGATGGTGGAAATAGCAAGAAAACTTAAATTAAAACTGGAACCTGAAAATGTGACTGAATTGTTGCAATTTCATGATAAAACTTGAACAGAAGATGCATTGATTCCTATGGATGAGCAAAGAATGTGGTTTCCTGAAATGGACTCTACTCAGATCTTCTGGTGAATATACTGAGAACAATGTCAAAATGACAACACAGGATTTTGATTATTACATGGACTTAGTTTATAAAGCAGCAGGAGTTTGAGAGGATTCACTCCAATTTTGAAAGATGTTCTGTAGATAAAAGGCTATCAAACAGCACTGCATGTTAAAGACACATCTGCCATACAAGGAAGAGTCCATTGATCTAGCAAACTTCACTTTTGTCTATTTTAAGAAATTGCCACAGCCACCCCAGCCTTCAGCAAGCACCACTTTGATCAGTCAGCAGTCATCAACATCAAGGCAAGACTCTTTTATCAGCAAAAAAGATGAAACCTTGTTTAAAGCTCAGATGATTGTTAGCATTTTTTAGTGATATTTTAAAATTAAGGTATGTTTATTATTTAATACATAATGCTATTATACATTTAGCAGACTACAGTTTAGTTTCTTATATGCACTGGGAAACCAAAACATTTGTATGACTAACTTTATGGCAATATTCACTTTATTGTGGTGGTTTGGAACTGATCTCTAAATATGTCTGAGGTATGGCTGTATTTCCTATTGGTTCTGTCTTTCTGGAGAAACTGGACTAATACAATTTGTGTGTATTACTTTAGTTTTATCTTTTTGGGGGCTTTCTGGGATTTCTGAATCTGAATGTTCATTTCCTTCCTCAGATTTGGGATGATTTTAGCCATTATTTCTTAGAATTCGTTTCCTAATTATTTCTCCCTTTTTACTTCTTCTGTAATTCCCATAATGCCTATCTTGGTCTGCTTGATGGAATCTGTAGGAAAAGCCTAAGTGTGTTTTTTACACTGTACTCTCCAGTAGAATACTTCTGACAACAGATGTGTGTGTGGCATTTTGCTTCAGATGCCAACCAGTCAGTTCTCTAGGGGATACCAATTGTTTGTCCTATAATTTATTTTTAAATTCTGTTTTCCTGGTGATAGTGTTGGATCACACAGCTCAAAGGCTCAGTCCAAGAAGACTGCCCCACACTTCAGATGCCAATAACAAGTCCCAGGTTGTGTCCTGTACTTCTGACTAACTGACTGTAAATCTGGATTCCCCTGATCATGTCCTTGGGTTTGATTAATATGCTAGAGCAGCTCACAGAGCTCAGGAAAACACTTCACTTCACTTATTTTTACCCATTTATTGTGAAGGAATTATACAAAGGATATAGGTGATCAGGCAACTGGAGAATATGCACAGAACGAGGCATGTGAGAAGGGGCATAAAGCTTCCGTGCCCTCTCTGGGTACACCATCCTTTACAATCCTCTATGTCTCCAGCTTTCTGGAAGCTCTCTAAACCCTGTGTTTTGGGTTTTTTATGGAGGCATCATCATAAAGCCATGATTGATGAAATCTTCAGCCATTGGTGATCAACTCAACCTTCAACCTTTCTCCCCTCCCTGAAGGTTGCGGGGTGGGAATAAGGCTGAAAGTCCCAACTCTTTAATCATGTTTTGGTCTTTCTGGTGACCAGCCCCCATCCTAAGGCTATTCTAGGGGCCATGAACTGCCAGTCATCTTATTAGCATACAGAAGACATTCATCACTCCAGAGTGTTTACAGGTTTTAGGAGCTCTGTTCTAGGAAGCAAGAATGAAGATCAAATATATATATATCTTATTATAAGTTACATTATCACAGTGTCTTATAAGACCCTTTTCTTCACTCTTTTGTTTTTTCTTTTTTTGCTCTGAATTATTTTAAATGACCTGTCTTTATGTTTGCTCATTCTTTCTTCTGCTTATTCTAATGTGCCACTGATTTTCTCTATTGAATTTTTTAGTTTATTATATTCTTCAGCTTCAAGGTTTCTACCTGCTTCACTTTAAAATTTTCTCTTTGTTGAAATTCATACTTTGTGTATTGTTCTCCTGAGCATGTTGAACATTTTATTATTTATAAAGATATGACTGTTTGTTTTAAATTTTCTGTCAAGTAATTCATATATTTCCATTCGGGTTGGTTTTTGGAGTTTTATTTTATTCCTTTGTTTGGATCATGTTTGCCTGTTTCTTTATTTTTCTTGAGTCTTTGTATTGTTATCTATGCAGCAGAAAAACCTCTACATCTCCCAGTTTCCACAGATTGATCGTGTGCTAGAGAAGACCTTCACCATTCAACCTGGCCAGTTTCTGTGTGTCTCTCAAACCTTCTTGGTAGTCTAAATCACTGCCTTTTTTAAAGTGGCTCCCAGGTGTCCAGAGTTTGTTAGGCTGTCTATCCTCCAAGAAAGGTGGGTAGAAGTAAACTCCTCTGGTAGCTCTTAGAGAAGTTGGAATGCCAGATCTATGATCCATCTCTTTTCCTTCCCCAAGAAGAATCTGGGCACTGGTGTTTTTTACGTGCTCACTCTGTGTTGAGCTCGGGTAGCATCTGTGATGAGTTCTGCACACTTGTTCAAAGCACCGCTTTGTTCTTTATAGCCTTCAGTGGTCTAGTGTATACTGGGCCCTATCAGTGCTCTGAGACAGATGAGAGAAAAGCCAGTCCCTTGAGTAGCACCAGAAAAAGTTGGGATGGCAGACATGTGGTTCAAGTGTTCTCAGGGAGAAGCTGGGAGCTAGGGTTTACTTCCGTTCCTTGCTGTGCACTGAGCTTTGGGGAGGAGCTGTGGCATGTCTTCATGCTAGTGCAAACTGTTACTTTTTTCTCTGTAGTCCTCAGGGGCCTAGTGTGCTAGTGTATGATGTGCTTTATCAGCTTTCCAAGACAGGAGAGATAGAAGACAGTCTCTCTGCTAGTATGTGCAAAAACTGAGATGCTAGGTGTATGGTCCAACTGCTTCACTCCAGAGGAAGAAGCTGTAAGCTGAGGACTCCCTCATGATTATATTATGCTGTGCTGGGGTTTTAGGGGTGGGGATTAGGGCTGGAGGGTGTCTTATTTTCCTACGAGTTCAGTGTGGCTGATTTCATACTCAACTGAGGTACAGAAGACTCTCAACTAGTTTTAGAATTTCTCACAAAGAAGATTGATCCATTTGTTGTTGAATTTTTATGTCCTTGAGGGGGAGTAAGAGTCCAGGGCTTCCTTTTTCACTATCTTGCTGACATCACTCTTAGGGAAACAGACTTTTCAATAGAGTCATATGCAGTCCCTCATTCATTTCTTCACCTACTACTTACTATACTATCCACTCCAATCTAGCCTCTTTCTCAACTGAAAAAAAGTTCTTTCTTTTGCTGAATCCCATGGAAAGCTTTCAGTCCTCATCTCAACCTCTCAGCAACTTTTGGCCCTGTTAGCCAACTCTTTCATGAAATATTCTTTTTTTTCCTTGAGTTCTGTTGGTGCCACACACTGCTGGATTTACCCCTTCTTCCTGGGCTATTTATTCTTTGAATTATTGGCTTATCTTTTCCTATCTGCTTATTAAATATTGCAATTCCTCACATTTCAATTCCATGTCTTTTTTTTTTTAACCATAAACTCTCTTTTCAAACAAGTGATTCTTCTGATAATTAAAATCATCTGAAGAGCTTTTTAAAAACCCTGATGCCCGGGCCACATCCAAAACTAATTAAATCTAGATATGGGTGATGGGATGAGGTATCAGTAATTTCTAGAATTCCTCAGCTGAATCCAATCTGTTTCCAACCTTGAGAATCCATAAACAAATTTATCTAAACTCACAGCTTTAAATACCATTTTTTTTATATCAGAATAAAGATCATGTATGTTTGATTCTCAAGTGCATAACCTGTACATAGCAAGTGCATGGCACATAGGAAATTCTCTGAAACTGTTAAATGAATTAAGGAATGACTAAAGTGAGAGAGAAATTTAGCATATTGGTGGTTGCATAACTGGTAAAGCTCCTTAAGGAAACTTAGTATTTAGTTGATGTTGTAGGTTGAATTCTCTTAGAGACAGAGACATTGAGATGAAAATTTGCATGAAAAAAGGGATTACTTTTGGGAACATGTCTTAAGAGGGAGTAACGCAGGCTTAAACACAGGAACAGTGGGGTTGCAACTGAGTGATCAGTCCATGCCATTGGGAACTCTGAAGATGGGATGGCCCTTCAGGGTTGTCTTAATTAGTAGAAAGGGACCCAGCCACCTTCATATACCCCTATCAAAGTCACTGGGTATGGGCTGCCTCTAGGACAAGACACCTTACTTCAGCCAAAGGCTATTCCAGAAGACACTCAGCTCTGAACTGTAGGCAGCCAACATTCCCAGGAGCAAGCTCATTCCTGGAGGGGTGACCTTGATGGTGGGGCACTGCAGCATCCACCATAGGTAGAATCAGATTGTCAAATGAATGAGCTCTGAGACCTCACCTAATTTAACCTTTGGTTTAAAGGTGAGTATACTGAAGCTCACAGAGGGTAAGTGCTTGGCCCAATATCATGTGGGAAGCTTACAGTCCATCTGAGGGTTAGAACACTAGTCTCTTGACTCTCAGAGAAGTGTTTTTCAATTATACCCACATTTTACTCAAATTTAGTGTGTGTGTATATGTGTGTGTGTGTAATTTTTCATATAGATATTTTCGTTGGGCCAGGAGGGAAATATTTTAAGTTTTTGCTGTATATGGAAAATTGAGAAAAGCTAAGTATCATCGCAGTTGGTTGCAGAGTTAGAAGTCGTAACTATGGATTTGTACTTGCTGGGCCAGGATGTAATTCTATTCTGTAGAGTATGGAAAGTAATGGCACAGTAAACATTGTGTTTGGATTGAGGTTTAACTCTTTATGTCAAAGAGGTTTGGAGATCATTAGCAAACCCATTAGAATTAGTGAGAATGTATAATGTTTTACAGTTGAGCAATATACGGTATAAATAGAAGATACTTCTACATGGTTGTCATAGAATGAGTAATCTCACATGAGATATGAAGTTAAAAGTGACCAACAGATAGCCTTCAATGAGATTTGCAAATTGCTGGTATTAAAAATCTAGTATCTCTCCAGATAGTTGCTTCTACTTTATGCAAAATATTTTTTCTTTGAGCCATGGATGATGTAATTGTATAATTGGAGCTAGAGAAGATTTGAAAATGTTTCCACAGGCTACAACAGTTCCTGAAACCCAGGTGAGGGGATAAATAACATGAATGTTGTGGAACACTCTTCTTAATTATGACTCTTGGCCCATAATAACATGACAGACTTTGCCACACACATACACACACTCATAAACACATTCTTTTCAAATAAGTTTAAACTAAACTAATCATGTAAAAGGTATCACTCACTGTCTGCATTCATAAAACTGTTTACAGTTTAATCTGTGAAAACAGAATGGAAAATAAATCCAGAAGCTGTCAAGAGAAGTGATAGTAAATTATAGGATAAGTAGGAAAATACAAAAATAAAAAATACTCCACAATAATTACACAGTTATATGTATTCATGAATAACCACCAATTTAACTTATTAGCTGAATACATGAAGTATTTGTCTGTCTTTGTATGTCTATTTATCTGATTATCTAAAAATTATTGCATACAGATGGAAATGTAATGCTGAACTTTTAATACCTTTATATTTACAGACCAGTAGCAGTGTTTTTTTCATAAGCCCCAGCCTTAACATGTGATCAAGGTTTCACTTCCATGTGATTATTATATACATAGTTTGCTTCCAGTTAAGGCTGTGGATTTTGGAAGGAGAGAGTGCAATTGGCTCTCCTGACTCAGTGTCTTTCCTGGTCTCTCTCTCTCTTTCTTTTTTTTTTTTCAAATAAACATTTTATTTTAGAATAGCTTTATAGAGTTATAGAAAAATTTCCAAGGTAGTACAGAGAGTTCCCAAATACCCTGCACCTAATTTTCTCTATTTTTATTTTTCTTTAGTATGGTGCTTTTATTTATTTTTTACAATTAAAGAGCTAATATTAATAGAATATTAATAAGTCAAGGCCATTCTTTATTCAGACCTCTTTGGTCTTTACCTTAAGTCGTTTTCTGTCACAGGATCCCTTCCAGGATACTATGTTACATAGTTGTCATGCCTTCTTGTGCTTCTCTTGGCCGTGACAGTCACTCACACATTACTTACTTTTGATGACTGTGAGAGTTTAGTAAAGTATCTGTCAAATATTTTGTGGATGTCCTTCAGATGGGATTTATCGGATGTGTTTCCCATGACTAGACTAGGTTATGTGGTTTTTGAGAGGAAGACCCGCGGGTTAAAATGTGATTCTTATCACATCATATCAAGGGTCCATATTATCAACATGACTTATCACGGTTGAGGTTAACTTGATCACCTGCTGAGGAGAGTGCCCGTGGAGTTTCTCTGCCATAAAGTTACTCTTTCCGCACCCCCCTTTGCAGACTGAACTCTTTGGAAGGGAGTCACTATGCACAGCTCACACTAAGGAGTGGGGAGTTATTTTCCACCAATTAGAAAGCAGAAGATCTACACCAATTATTTGGAATTCTTCATGAGTGATTTGTCTATATTTCCCCATTTATTCAATTCTTATTTTTATCTGTATGGACTCTGGAATTTTTATTTTGTACTATAATACAATACTACTTTATTTTGTTGCTCAAATCATTGCAGCTTTGGCCATTGGGAACCCTCTCAGTTTGTTCCGGTGTCCTTCCATTGACATATTTCCATTATGGTGTTTTTTTTTTTTTTTTTTCCTGAACACTTCTTTAATTTCTGTTACTGTAAGATACCTGCTCTTTAAAAAAAAATTGTCTTCTCATTTCACTTTATATGAGGTTACCAGCTTTAAAATAATGACTAATAACATCACGGTTGCCACTATTTATAGTTATATTGTTTTCTTTGATATAATTCCTTTCTGAGTCCTTTTAGTGTAGTATTCAGAAAGGGAATCTTCCATCTAAAACCTCCACCAACAATAATACCTTATGTTTTCTTGTATCTTGCTGTGTCTGAAAAGCAGAATTAACAGTAATCAAAACATCCCACAGAGTCAGAATTGCTTGCTGTAGAAGGGAGGATGATTGATCTGTTTCCATGAAGAATTTCTTAACTTGTGGTCTACTCGTCCAGGAACCCTCAGAAACACAAATTTTGTATACCCTTTTTGGGGAAGTGTAGAGTTTTTATCAGATTTTCAGAGACATCTGTTATCTAACAAAGAGGCAAAGAATCACTGCCTTAGAGCATGAGAAATGATACAACCAACACATATTACATCCTCATTCTACCCTTGTGTCTGTGGCTTTGTATTTGGTTAAGTTCATGTCCAGCTGAAAGCTGCGCAGCCCCACACTTACTACATTCAGGTCTGAGACGGCCTCTGACAATTGTCATTGCATTTATTGCTCTATGGAGAAATAAAACAATTCCTTTAGACTCAGATTTCTAGTTTTAGCAAGAAGATTAATACAATATACTCATCCACACCTGTTTTGAAATGAAACTGTGCACTGTGGTCACTGAAGGGTCATGTAAAAAAAAAGAATGTTCTACAGTTAATAGAAAACTGAGCTTCCTCCTTTGGAAATAAATTTCTGGATTTTTCCTTTAGTGCTGGAAAATATTACATCATACAGCTATACAGTCTGACACATTCCTTGCATAACTTTACATATTAGTAATGACATTGGTTCAAGTTTAGGCAAGTGAACAAAAGATGACTGGTTGTAAAAGGCTTTTGATATAAAACTCTATTTTCTCTAGTCATTTGATCACTTTGCCCAAGTAGAATAAGTTATTTTCTTAAATTAATGTCATATTTCCAAGAAATAAATCCTGCTTTTTAATATATTGGAATTGTTGATAGATTTCTTAAAATAAAACAAAATAGCATAGTCAAATGCATAAAACATTGGACTGAGATTCAGAATATGAAGACTTTAATAACAAAGCAGGCATTAAGTGTGTGATCTAATTTAAATCACTTAACTCTCCTTTTTCATGTTTATTTTGTGTTAAGTAATACTAACTTACTTTCTAAATTATAAGGAGATATATAGTAACATACAGACAAGGGAAAATATGTTACATGCAAATTGTTTTAACTCTTTAAAACAAAGTGACTGTATCCATTTAATCTCTTATATTTTAGTCTGTAGAGATAATTTTAATGTTATTTTAGTATTGATAAGCTAAAAAATATGATTTTAACTTTTTTTAGGTGGGAAAAACCCTGAGTTCATGCATATGAATATAAACTACATGGAATTTTATTTAAATTTTAAAACATCTCTGTATTTCTAATACAAATAAATGTGAATTGTTGATTAAACATTTATGCCAAGTTACCTGCAGCTGAGACATGAAAATATATATTGACACAAATAAGAATAGAAGAAAAGGGGCCATATGATATTTGGTATATTCCCTGGGTTGTTTTTTTGTTGTTGTTTGTTTGCTTGTTTGATTTTCAAAAGATTTTTGTCAAACAATGTTGAGTTTTTGTTGCTAACGAACAAAAATTTGTTTTTAACAGTGGAGAGTTGAAAAACATTTGGAGATGGTAGAAGAGTGAACTGATAGAAAGGGCCAATTTATATTTTCAGTACTAATGATTTTTAACAATGCTTAGTAAAATGAATAGAACTCAAGGTAAAATACATATGCCCTAAAGCAATATGTGTATGGATGGTAATAAGAAGATAGATAATATTTCACTTACACTATGGCAGGCTTACCATGGAGCAGGTTTCATTCTTGGCTCTACCACCTTAGAAAAATCTCTTAACCCTGCTGTCTTAGTTTCTTCATACACCATGTACTCTACAGGTTCATTTACTTACCTCTTACTCTTCTACCAATGTTTTTCTACCATTATCTCCCTCAAAATAACAGCTTTCTGTGTGGCTAATATCTCTTCTGTTTAATCACGTGAACATGACTATCAAATGAAAGAATGTGATGGACATAATGGTTGATTCTCCAATATTCATTCCGCACCAGACTATTGATCTGAGCCAATCATGAATGTTTCTTCCTCCTTGCTAGTAGTTCAGCAATGGTCAATGCTGGGAAGATTCTGAGGGTGGGGGAAGTCATTACTCCTAAGAGAGTGCCACAGGACAAAATGTTCTTCTTCCTCTGGAAATAACGAGTGGAACTGCTTACCCCTTACAGCACAGGCAACATGAGGCTGAAATATACCTAGAAGAGATGGCAGATTGGAAGTACTTGAACCAATGTGTATTTAATACTATAAAAACAGTAGGGAACTACAGATATATAGAAGCCATGAATCCCTCAATAATCATACTGTTTTCATTTTGTCTAGTTGGTAATATACTCGTAGATAAGAAAAGAAAAGCTACAAAATCATTGCCAAACAATATATTTATTAGTTCATGTTTATTAGAGTAAGGTTGCATGGTTGATGCAAGATTTTACAAAGAAGATGAGGTTTAAAAGGACAGGTTTGGTTTAGATTAGTACAATAAAGAATGGAAGTTACAATATTCCAGGAAGAGAGACTGATTCTGTGGAAGAAGGACAAAATTTGGTAGTGAGATAAAGGGCTAAAAATGAGTTTGACTGACACAGCCTACAGCTAGAAGCAGAAAAATCAGCTGGAAAGTTCTAAACTACAAAATTTAGTGTTAATTGTCTTCATGTTGTCTTTTCATTGTTTAGAAGGAATGTACTTGTAAAAGATTTTATATGAAGAGACACAATAACAGCAGTCCTGAATTGATCCAATACAAGTGTATTTTGTAATCAATCAATTCTTTTACTTCCTTTGAATGAGAAAACTTGTAGATAGGTTTGAACGCTAATTTGCATCCTAATATCCAATTTTCCCACGTGCGCTCATTCTCTTTAGAGTTTTCCATCTTTTGTTAAAGGATGACAACTGGCTGTAAGGAAGTTATAGTTTTACCTGCAATTAATTGGAAAATCTAATTACCAGCCCTCAAGTTTATGAAGCTGTGATATTGGAGCCAATAAAGCCACAAGAAGCAATTTTTAAAAATCCGTATGATCTATGCACTTTTGGGAGGTCTAACTGATTGATTTTCATCTTTTAAAATGCTTTGCACTCTGACTGAATTTCTATTTGAAAGGGTTGTCTATATCAATTCATAGTATTATTAAATTATGTCATACATTTTTTTCTGTTATATCTCACCTACAATGGTTGCCTCTTATCGGCAGATTGTATGAAAATAAACTCAGAAATGCCTAATAGATAAAGACTTTTGATTTCAATACAAAGCCAAGCCTGTTGCATCTAAGTTTCCTTCATATAAATTAATATAATTTATGAAACTGAGACTTTTTACCATATCAACACAGAAAAGGCTGTGCTAGGTGCTTCAAGTAGAGTTTTGCTCTTCCTTGTGATTGTCATGGATTTTGTGTGTGTGTGTAGGTAATGGGAAAAATTATTATGCATAAGACTTTATGAGGGGTAAAATAAACCAAACTCAAACAAAAACAACAAAACATTTTCCTTGGCTTCCAAGAAAGTGCCTTTCTAAAAAAGGGCTCTTAAGCAACCACCAATTTTGTCACTTATCATTATTCAAAGTTAATTAAAATAGCAAAACAATGCAGATTTTCCTCTTCTTAATAAAGAGTTCATGACAAATATATATAGAAAAGCAATAGGTAGTTATCTCTTATAGTATAGAGTATTTTACTTGTTTCATTTATCTGATAATAGTGAAAAGTATTTTACCAATTCCCTTCTGCCTCCCAAGCTGCCATATTTTACTGAGTGAGGAAAATGTTCACTGTATTTCTTGGGGAATATCATTTTATGAACATCAGCATGATTGCCTTATGAATTCTTAGACCATCTCTCTGGTCAGATTGTTTTTGTGTTGGCAGGCTAATATTACACATTGTTCAAAAAATGTTCTTTGTTGTTTTTTTCTCATTGTGTGCACTCCCTTTGTACTTGCCTAGATTTCAATGGCAGGTTGCTTCAGAACAAGTAACCTGTCTGCTTAATTTTACTTTATAGAAAGTAACATGGAGTATTTAGAGCAATGTTTCATACATTTAGTAAAGTTAATTGTTAAAATATATATATTTTTAATAACAATGTCTTTTGGGTTTTTAACAATATTTACTAGTCTCTATTTCTATTTGAAAACCACAATGAGATACCATCTCACACCAGTTAGAATGGCAATCATTAAAAAGTCAGGAAACAACAGGTGCTGGAGAGGATGTGGAGAAATAGGAACACTTTTACACTGTTGGGGGACTGTAAACTAGTTCAACCCTTGTGGAAGTCAGTGTGGCGATTCCTCAGGGATCTAGAACTAGAAATGCCATTTGACCCAGCCATCCCATTACTGGGTATATACACAAAGAACTATAAATCATGCTGCTATAAAGACACATGCACACATATGTGTATTGCGGCACTATTCACAATAGCAAAGACTTGGAACCAACCCAAATGTCCAACAATGATAGGCTGGATTAAGAAAATGTGGCACATATACACCATGGAATGCTATGCAGCCATAAAAAATGGTGAGTTCATGTCCTTTGTAGGGACATGGATGAAACTGGAAATCATCATTCTCAGTAAACTGTCGCAAGAACAAAAAACCAAACACTGCGTGTTCTCATTCATAGGTGGGAATTGAACAATGAGAACATATGGACACAGGAAGGGGAACATCACATTCTGGGGACTGTTGTGGGGTGGGGGGAGGGGGGTGGGATAGCTTTAGGAGATATACCTAATGCTAAATGACAAGTTAATGGGTGCAGCACACCAGCATGGCACATGTATACATATGTAACTAACCTGCACATTGTGCACACATACCCTAAAACTTAAAATATAATAATAATAAAATAAAATAAAATAATAAAATAAAATAAATAAAAAAAAGAAGAAAAAGCCATACTATAGTTGTGGATTTGTCTCAAAAAGGCAGTCTTTCCTCCCAATGAGAATTACCCATTTCTGTTGTTTGCTATTTATAACTACTTATCAGGATTTTTCTCTCTCTTATAGTCAGCAGTCAGCAGAGGACCTTGCCCGAGTACCTGCCAACTCCACTAGCAATATCTTGAACAGGTTATTGGTCAGTTATGATCCCAGGATAAGACCAAACTTCAAAGGTTTGTCTCCCCCATATAAATGTTCATTTTTATTGTTTAAAAATTAATTTTATATGTTTAGAGATTTGTGATATTTTATATGTATATGCTTTGTGATATTCAAAACAGTAAGATTTCAAAGTGATATATAACAAAAATGTCCTTAAGTTCAGAACAATTCAATGCCTAAAATATTCAGATGAGTAAAATATGAATTCTAATTGTTTTATAGGTTACCTGTTTTTAAAAATTCAAAAAAGGATATACTGTGAATTAATAGGCCAACATCCGCAATGGGTTTTCTAAGTACTATTCTTAACCTTAGTGGTTTAAAATTTAGGCTCTGGAAATAGACCTGGCTTTCATTCACAGACACCAGAGTTATAATTTGCAGAATGATGATTTTCTCATTTAGGGAAAGAGAACAGTTCTGATGTATATTTAGAGTCTTTCTTACTTTTTGTTATTATTTCACATTAATAGAAAATTCTCTCTATTCTTTTGCTGAAAAAACAATTGGCCGTATGATTTTTAAAAGCATGTTAGCTTTGTGAATAAAAGTGATTACGTAGTCCACAACATAGATTATTTTTATTCCAATTAGATATTACCATTTATCACACCTTTTAAAAACCAAAACTATGCTTACAATAAAATAAGCCATGAGCAGATTGTGCAGTTGTAGAGACCTTTTTTGTACTTTTGATGAATTAGAAAAAAGCTGTATGAAAAACATCTCCTCTGGAAAACTATAATCCTTGTTGCTGGTTAAGGACAGGTATTAATGTAGATCAGATTAACATTATAAGGCTTGATTTTTTTTTTTTTTGCCTTTAGAAAAAAAAAATAGGTCTGCAGCTGCTTCTAGTCAACTGAAGTTATACAACTATGTTGTAAAAATGGGTTTTTGTTCATTACCAGGACCTATTCAGTTACTTTCAACAACAGCCATGGTCTGGGTTGTCACATGTCTACCATATATTGATTCACCACCTGTTTTTCATCAGTTAGTGGTTATGTGGCTAAAAGGCTAAATTCACATTTTCCCTTTGTTAGCACAACGAGCAGCCACAATGAGATGAAAAAAAATAGAAAGAAATTTGCAACATTATACCTTAGTTCTCACTCCGTGAACTTTCAAATTATTTTTCAAAAGGTCAGGCAAAAATCTTTATAATGACTCTGCTATGTGTCCAATTAGCTTTGCATTTTCATGAATTAAAAATTAAAATAATAATTACAAGTAAAATTTATTGAATACTGTTTTACCTATTAAAGTAAGAATTTGAACTGATTAGAAAAATGCAAAAAAATGAAACCCTGTTTTCAAAATGATTCTTTAAGAATAATTTGTAGTTCCTTAAAGTAAATGTATTAGGGCAATTTAAAAAAAGATTTAAAAGTAAATGTATTTTACAGAGTCTCTACAATTTAAGACATAATTCTTCCTGAAAAAAAAAAAACATTATAAAATATAATCGAACTCATTGCTTTATTTGTATTATGATTCCTATTTAGAAAAACAAGTTAATAGCAATTATGAACATGTTATACTGAGACCATAGATTTTTTGCATTCCATATGGATTGGAAAAAATATAATAATTAAATGTGCAAACCAAAAAAACTATGATGATTCTGACCAAGTTTTTTACAGCTAATAAATATATTCTTAATTTTTATTCATAGGCATTCCTGTTGATGTAGTAGTCAACATTTTTATTAACAGTTTTGGATCCATTCAAGAAACAACAATGGTAAGATTGCAATTAATTTAATATTTTGTCAAATATTTCAATAGAGGAGATAGTGAAAGTAACATTAAAATTGAACAATAAGGAGCAACTCAAATAATCCATGCCCTTTCCTAGTATAAAATGTCCAAATTTCTAGATTTTGTTAAATCAGTGATTTCAGTTACCCACATAATTTTGCAATTCACATTTAGCTTTAATATTGCGTTAAAACTTACAGACTTAAAAGAATTGATGTATTCCCCCTGAAAAACTGTGATTGGATACAACCTGGAGAAAGCGCTTATGCCATGAAGACTCTTGGGCAACAGTTTTTGTTTTCTAATATGCTTATATGTTGGAACATTCAAAATGTTTTAAGTATTCAAGTTTTTTTCTTCCAATTTCCTGAGGAGAATCCTTGTTTTACCTGTTATGTTCATTTTGTGATATGTAGAGCAGGGAATTGTAAGAAGCAAATAAGAAAATTGATTTTCATAAGATAGGGCAATGTGAACGCCTTGAAAAGATGGTGCAGCAAGATGAAAGGGCCGGGAAAGGCAGGTGAAGACTGGGAAGGAGTGACAAGCAGATTCGTGTCTTGAAAGGAATAGGAAAGAGGTTCAAGAGAGGTTTGGCTGTTGTCCATGATAAGTTGGACTTTAGGGACAAAGTTTTCAGTAAAGTAATATTAGTAGATTTCCTAAGCCTCTTGAAAGCCATTCGATAAAGTCTATTTGCTTACTAAGGTTTTAGAATATTAAATTTGTGCTCTTTTTGACAAACCACATGGTGAAATAATACTTCAGGTGGAAGAAAGAAGACCTAAGATTTATTTTCCTGTATTTTTGGGAGACACTTTTATTTTATTAAATATAAGATTTTGATTGCAAGCCTAGTAAGAATGGCAAGAGTACAGTCTAATTTTCCTGAGAATATCTCAGACTAGTGAAATAATTACTTAAAATATTTACTCCATTATTCCTAGTAGCAGCAGCATAGTACATTATAAAAGCAATTGTACATTGCATTTAATTAATGACACCTATTTTTAAATTTTAATTGTGATGAGAGTGTTATTTATTTGTAGAAGTATATATTTAAGCTGGGTAATGGACAAAGTGTAGATATTTTAGAGAATTACTTAAAAGATTTGGGGATTATGTCCAAAATTCACTTCCAGTGACTTTTTACATCATTTAAATAACATAGACATGCATTATAAATCACTAGGAGACCTTTCTGAAATAAAATATAAACTACTATATATGACTCAAGAGACACTATAGCACTCATTAACTGAAAATGTGGTTAATCTGTCTATATACTTCACTTTCCAAGAGTAAGAGATATCATTTTCTCAAGGTAAAACTTTGCAGGAATCTATTTGATCTCCACACCCTGTTCTGTACCCTGGTTATCTAGCACGACACCACTACACTAATACAGAAACACAGCTATGAAGATATTGCGTCTTATAGGAAACATCCCCACTCTTTATCTTGCATGCCCCTGTGATCAGATCCAAGAGAGTTTTAGGTCAGCTAATGCAAGGATCTTTTTTTCTTCTTTGCATATGTCATAGCTCAGTAGGTATCATTAATGTATCTATTTTGTAATAAATACTGAATTCCTTCCAACTATCAGGAAGGAATTCTGGTAGGTCTCATCAGTAGTTACTAGACTGTATTGAGTTGAAAATACCAGGGAGCATGTAATATTTAAATAAATTCTTACAGAGTTTTGATGATTATGATAAAATATTTCATCATTTCTAATATCCTCTCACTCATCTGCACAGACCCATCCCAGTAGTTAGCCAAGAATAACTTATCCTCGGTACCAGATTCAATAAATTCTCACCATGGAGTCTTTACCCTTGCTTTTTATTCTTGATCTTCTTCTCTTCTAAACAGAAATTTTCATGGCTATTCTCACTCACTTTGTGCACTCTTTTCAATCTAGGTTTTTCATCTCTATTATTTGTCTGTTACTTTAATAGCTTCTATACTGTAATTAAATTATTTTTGTGTGTATTCCTTTTATTCTCTAATGGACTATAAACTCATAAAATTAGCAATAATGTATTCTACTTACTCATTTTTCCATAAAATACAGAAGACATTAGGCACTCAATGGTGAACACATAAATAAATATTTTTATATTAGCCAATAGTGAGTGAATAAATGAACAAATAAAATTGCTATTTGCTTAGTTAAGTAAAATGGTTGGTGGAACAAATTTAAACAGTAGATTAATGTTGAGCATTTAGATGGCTTAATAACAGACTGAATAATGTCGTTACTACAGAGTGTAATTTTGAAAACTTTGAAAACCTTTATCTAAAGGAGTCAAATTATTTATATTCATTATTTCTTTGATCATATAGCCTGGATGAAAACCAATCTGCCCTTCACTTTATATTGACCGACATGCCTAAATGTTTAAGATCAGAACTACACTCATTAAATAGATGTAAATATTCCATTTTATCATAATTATTCTTTTTTGCTTCCAGCAATATTTATTTTATATACCTTTATAAAGTAGAATTGTACACATATATCATTTTACAGTCATATTTCATATATTTGCTCAGTCTTCTCAAGGCAAATGCTGTAATACCTTGTTGTTTAATAGTTAGGAAAGCATAAGTCATTATAGATACATAAATGACATTAAAATATCTTTCAAAAGAAAAAATTCATCTAGACAACACTTCATTTCTTCATAATTTGTTATAAACAATGGTCAGAAAATAATAGTGATAACACAGAAGTGTAACCCAAAAGGGTATACATGTCTGGACAGGAGTTATGTTATGAGAGGATACTTCTTCAAAACAAACAAAAATAATAAAAATAAACAAAAAAAGTTCCCCAAAACAAGAGTTTGAGAAAGCAGAGAGTATTAGATTTGTCTATATATAAGATGCACATTCATGGCAATATAATGGTGGGCTGTGTGTGAGTTGTGTCATCCAACAGGCTTGTGTTTGAGTCTGTTGTGTCCTTGCTGTGTTACTAAAGGGAGGGAATAAGTTACAAAATTAAAACAACGGTATTTTGACTGGCATAGCAACCACTATGCCAGTGATGATGACTTTTTGGTTGTCATACATTAGCAAATTAATTTAAAATTTCACAGTAGTATATTATCCTAAAAACTGAATTATTTCTAATTGTATTAGCAGTCCTACTGTATATGTGTGGCTTTGTCTATTACTAGCCTCCTAGAAATCTCCCCTACAAGGATGTACAAAAATAAAGGAATTCCTGGCCAGGCACAGTGGCTCATGTCTGTAATCCTAGCAACTTGGGAAGCTGAGGCAGGTGGATCACTTGAGGTCAGGAGTATAAGACCAGCCTGGCCGACACTGTGAACCCCGTCTGTACTAAAAATACAAAATAAATAAATAAATAAATTAGCTGGGCATGGTGGTGCACACCAGTAATCCCAGCTACTTGGGAGGCTGAGGCTGGAGAATCACTTGAATCCAGGAGGTGGAGGTTGCAGTGAGCTGAGATCATGCCAAAGGAAGTCTTAACATTTAAAAAGCTTCAGTATTGCTCTGTGCTTTCCTCTGAAATTCAAACCATTCTACTTCAGCAGATAGTGCTTATTAAAGAAAGCACAATGCAGAACACAGAGCCTGGGAGTAGATATAACATGAATAGCCACGAGTCAGGTGTCAGAAAGATGGAGGGCAACTTTTAAAGGAAGAGGGGCAGCCCATTTCATCAGTGGATAATGTTGATTATCAAACAAGGAAGCAAGCAAAGTTATTGGCATTAATGTTATTGTCAGGAAATTTTAACCAATTCTATTTGGAAAAAATTTGTTTTTGCTTTTTTTCTCTAAATTTAGATGCTAAATGTTGCTGGCTAAACTAGAAGTCACCTCACATTATTCATAAACCATAATTGTATAGTGGAGGAAAAATTACAGCCTTATTAATATTCCTTAAGGTCTTCCATATCTCTGTGGTTATACGCTGCTTCAGCCTGTTTTATGGCCTCATTGTGAAGCTTTATAGTTCCTATTTCTCATGTCTGTGTGCTCATTTGTATTTTGCTACCTTACATTTTTGTAAGGTATCATTATCAATACTATAAGTGGTATTTACCAACATTAACAGTAGCATCACCAAAATTGTCAAATAAATGTTATCATCCCAATTTGAAGTTGCTGGAACAGTCAGTTCTAGTTCTACCAGTTTATGTGCTACTGCTTGTGACAACTGAAATAAGAGTATTCAAAACAGTGAGAAGAATGATTTGTTAGGGGCTAGGTGACATCTGTTCTACAGTTATGCTTACAATATTTGTTGAGTTTCCATTCAGTTCCTAACTTTGGCTTTAATCAGCAGGATTTTCATAATTGAAAATGTGACCTATCGAACTTATGTAGGGAAAACTGGGTATTATCGTGTATTGTCATAATCTATACACTGGCACTTTGACTTATCAGAAATACATAAGAGCTCTTTCATGGAAATAAAAGCCTGTTTATACAATCTATTTTCTTTCTTTAGTTTAGGCATCCTTTGTAATTATATTGAATTATTATTGCACTATAATTCATGATCCTGTCAGACTTTCTATGCCTTTTTGTTCCATGACTTTTTGTTTATTTTAATAATAGATTGCAACTCCTTTTGGGAAACACAGCTGTGACTGTCAAGAAAAAAATTCATATTTGGGATCCACTAAAAATGCTTGATTCTAGTTCTTGGTAATTGCTCATCTTTGTTGTTTTAAAACAATTTTATTTTATATATTTTTATATTTAGATTTAAAATGCTTTCCTTAAAACTTGCCTCAGTTTACTATTTATATTTTGTTTTTGTTGTTAATTTTAAAGCATGTACTATAGAATAATAGAATTTACTGTAGAATAATATTAGACATATTTGTCCCATTTTTTATTTCACATATCTTAGTAGATTTTACATCTTAGATGTAAAATCATAAACATTAAACTGATTTCATATTTATTTTTCTCATGTTATTCATCTTCAGGGTTTGCACTCTGTTGTTGGCTGAATAATGGCCCCCTAAAGATGTTCATGTCATAATCACCAGTAATCACAATTCTTATATGAAATTTCTAATCTCACTAGAGGCTAAATTTTATATCCTTTTCAAACCTGTGGATATGCTGTTTTATATGTTAAAAAGGACATTTCAGATGTGATTAAATTAAATATTTGGAGATCGGGGGAGAGTATCCCAGTTTCTTCAAGTGAACCAGTGTAATTGATAGCGTTCTTGTAAGACAGAGACAGCAAGATCAGGGTCAGTGGTAGTAGCTGTGATGCAGGAAGCATGAAGCAGTTGTCATGCAAGGAAGGGACCATGACTTAAGGAATGCAGGTGACCTCTAGGAGCTGAAGAAGCCAAAGGAAAGAGGTTCATTCCTCAGAGGCTTCAAAGGAACCAGCCCCTCAGACAGAACAATTGACTTCAGCTCAGTGAACATGATTTTGGTCTTCTAAGCTACAGAACTGTAAGATACTAAATGTGTGGTGCTTGAAGCCACTATTTTTGGTAATTTTGTTACAGTGGCAATTGGAAACTAGTACATATGCTGATGAGCATTTGTTAGTAATTTTTTTCCTTCTGAATTCTGCTGGAGGTTTATCTGATTGCATATAACTTCCTCCCAAGTCCAGCTGAAGGATTATCTGATTATAACATAACTTTTTCCATATATGAAAATGCCAGACTAATCAGTTGTATTTTATTGAGTAATTACTTAAACCTCTCACTCATTAAGGTTAATTCTATTAAGGATGTAATTTTTAAATATCTATATATATGTTTTTAGTAGTTAAAATATACTTTATTCCTTTGTGTCAAAGTTACCTTTTTTTAGTGTACGTACATGAAACTCAACAATTTGTTATGGATACTTTCCTCATTACCTTTTTTCTTCAAGTTACATTATTTGGAAGCATTGGTGATTAAATTTCACAAGTAAGAGTACTGTATTAGGCATTGTGGAAGGATGAAAAATGTCCAAGTTTTGTTTTCTCTTTCTAGTAATTTGATTATTGTTATTAGTGGATATGAAAAAAATTAATGGTGTGAATAATACTACACAACTTCCTGAACTGAACTGTCAACATGATACAGAAGGCATTTCCTCATTCCTGTATTTAATAGAAGTGTATTGGATGCTTTTTATACTCAGCCTCAGCAGGTCTCTATTCTTTATGGGGTTTCCAGCCTAGTGTGGCACCATAGCACCACCTAGCAGGCTCTCCTAATAGAAATGGACTATGAACATAGATCTAGAAAAATTAATTATCCATAAGGTTTTATTGAAGAATCTTTAATTATAAACCTTGAAAAATGATATATTGAGAAAAATCACTACTATATAACCTAAGAGTTTTTACAGGCATTTGGGTAACTTGCAATTCTTATATGGAATTTTAACCTGACTTGAGGCTAAATTTTAAATCCTTTTCAAACCAGGCTTTTAATAGCCCTATTGACAGAACTTTAATTATAATGCTGCCAGATGCTATAAGAGCTGATCTCTTTTATTTATTTGAATGCTAATTTTTGCCATAATGCAAAGAAAACAAATGAATTAAAGATTATATATGTGAGCTATTCTAACAACATTACAAAATATAAACAGTTCTTAATATTAAAATATCATTTATGAAACTTAACCGATTATAGTGTCTTGTTGTGAAATGTTTTATTGCCTTGAAGAAATGGTTTAATTTGGGTGTTAATTGGTTCTAAAAGTTTTTGGAGACCATCCATTTTTTCAGATAATGATTAATAGTGTGTTATTTGGAATGAACAATGAATAGTATTTGTCACCAGTGCTTTAAAAGCAATTAAGTAATTTCCCACTCATAAAAGAGGTCTGTTTCTGATGGGAATTTGTTTCTTGCAAGATAAATGATAGAGCTATAATTACTGTGATTGAATAATTGAAAATGAAAATAAATAGGTTTCAAAGATGGTTATCTTAATATAAAGCATTTGAAATGCCAATAACTAGTAATTATTTGAAAATACTCATAAAACACTAACCAAAACATGTAACTAATGAGCTTTTATCTTTTCATGAATGTTCAACACAAACTATTAACTTAAATTGTAAAAATTTGAAATATTCTTAAAAGATACATAAGCTTGCTGGAACTTGCGTGGAATCATAGTATTATATGGCCTCATAACTAATAGAAAAGAATCTTTGAAGCACTTTCATAATGAAATAAGACATAATAATCAGGATGATACACTGAATGAACCAGTGAAGTAGGCAATTTCCAGTTTTGGTGATGCTCATTGGAATATGACTCTGATGGAATTCTATTTAAACAAAATAATTGGGGTAGAGACCCATTTGAGCTTTTTTTTTGTGGTGTATTGAGGTGACAATGGTGCAGCTTAAAGCAAGAAGAGTTTAGGAGATGCTAAAAAATGTGTGTTAGCACTGTGTTGAGATTTGAGATCTAGAGGTGAATGACTGTTCAAAATAATTGTAGGTAGATCATCTCAGTATAGAGAAACCCAAACATGTTACACTATATGCAGAATTTTTTGAAGCAAAAAAGCATATTAAGCACTCTACAAGCATTAAAAAGGAATAACAACAACATGAAGGATATTTCCTAATAAAATGAAAAAGTTTTTTAGCACCTAATATCTCCAGGTGCAGTTCATGTACTTTGCATATAACATCTCACTGAATTCTTCCTAAAACTCTATGTTGTGAGTGTATGATTATTATCCCTATCTTATATGGAAGGGAACTTTGTCTTCCATTCACTCCTTAATCCCCTGCAATTTTGTTTTTGATACACCACTGTATCGAAAATGTTTTTGCTGTAATCTTCAGTGGCTTCCTCATTTGCTGAAAGTAGTCAGTGTTTTTGTTTGTTTGTTTGTTTTTGTACTTGACCTTCTGTGGCACTTACTGCTGTTGACCATCACAAAGCTTTTGTTCTTTTGGTTTAGTGAAATCACATTCTTAGGATTTTTTTCTTTTTCAGTCTTCTAGCCAGCCCTTTAAGTGCTTACCCTCCCAGGTATTTTTGTGTTTCTTGTTTTTGTTTTTGTTCTGTATTCCTGCTCTAAGTAATAATTTTGAACAAACCTATTCTTAGTCTTGATATTTTTTTGGTAATGTTTTGAAGGTTCATGCATGCTGTAACATGTGTCAGAATTTCATTCCTTTTTTATGGCCAAATAATATTCCATTGTGTGTGAATGTACCTACCAAATTTTGGTTATTTGTTTATCTGTTAATGGACATGGGTTATTTTCAGCTTTTGGCTGCTGTAAATAATGTTGCTATGAACATGGGTGTACAAGTGTATCTGTTGGAGTGTCTGCTTTCAATTTTTGGGGGTATATACCTAGGATTGGAATTGCTGAATCATATAGAAATTCTGTGTTTAGCCCTTTGAGGAAAATATATAATTTTTAAAAGTTTAAGACAGACTTATAGTGAAGACATATCAATGATTTATTTGATGCACTAATAAGGGAACCAACAGCATAGTGAAGCTGATCCAAGGAAGAATTCAAGAGACTGCAGTGAAAGAAATAATGCTGAAATTAGATTGTTAAATTTAATACAAAACTTGTTAATGTTATACAGAGACGTATAGGCATAGTCTTGAAGAATTTTTTTTCTACAAGACAGAAATCATTAGTAACATCAATTTTTAAAAGTTATCTAATTTTACAGTCATAACCCTAATCAATAGAAAGTAGCAATTGAAAGTTACATTGTCCTGGAGAATCACAGGCACTAAGGTGGGCTTGTTAGACATTGTTTTAGTGTGATATTGAAAGAACAAACAATATTTTTGCCTTATCTTAAAACTTGGGATGTTTTTTCTTAACCTTGTATTTCTTGACTTTGATTTTGTTTATGGTATTTTTTGCATTCACTTTTTAAGAGTAGACTCGATGTAGACATTATTGTAGCTTTATTCATAATTGACAAAAATGTCACTTAGTAAATGAATGGATAAACACACCAAATTGATACATTTGTTATCAAACATAATTAGACGTTATCCTCCAAAGTTTATCTTTTATATTAGGTTTCATTCCTAGTTTAGAACATTCTATGGGTTTTGTCAAATGTATAATGATATATATTCACCATTATAGTATCATACAGAAGGGTTTCACTGCCCTAAAAATCATCTGTGCTTTGCCTCTTTATCCCTTTCTCCTCTCTAAATTCTGGAACCACTGATCTTTTTACTGTCTCCATAGTTTTGCCTTTTCCAGAATGTCAGATAATTGGAATCGTACATTATGCAGCCTTTTCAGATTAGCTTCTTTCACTTAATGATATGCATTTAATGTTTCACCATATCTTCTCATGGCTTGATTGTTCAGTTCTTTTTAACACTGAATAATATTCCATTGTCTGAATGTACCACAGTTTACTTACCCATTTATCTACCGAATGACATTTTCATCAATTATGAATAAAACTACAATAAACATCCAAGTGAAGGGTTTTATGCTGACATGTTTTCAGCTCCTTTGGGCAAATACCAAGGAGTGTGGTTGCTGGATCATATGGTAAAAGTATGTTTCGTTTTGTAAGAAACCACTGTCTCCAAAGTGGCTGAACAGTTTTTGATTTTTATCAACAATGAATGAGTTTTTTCCACTTTTTCCACATCCTTGCGTTCGTTTTTGTCAGTGTTCTGGATTTTGGCCATTCAAATAGGTGTGTAGTGGTATCTGATTGTTGTTTTAATTTGCATTTCCCTGATGTCAAAGGATGTTGAACATCTTTTCATATGCTTATTTGTCATCTGTATATATTCTTTGGGGTAGTATCTGTTCAGATCTTTTGGACATTTTTTAATTGAGTTGTTTGTTTTCTGATGGTTGAGTTTCAAGAGTTCTTTGTATATATCTTGGCCTTGATTTTAACTCCTACCTTTCCACTGTCTCTTGCTTGACCCCTGAATTATTTGGGCCATTTTCTCTATCTTGATATTTAATCATTCTTATTATGATTGATTATATTGTATTGTTGATGAAACTGATTAAGAAGTGGTATCTTTTTGCCTCTGTCTTTTTTTTGCTTTTCCCACATGTCACCCACCACCTGTCAAAGTTTTTACTCTTTGGGAACCCCACCAGCTTTAAGTTCTACAGCCTTTCCTGATCGCTGGTGTCTGATGTGATCATTTATTCTCTCAACAAGTATTGCTTTGTTCTTACATCCCTTAGGGTCTTTACCAATTGTTTCATGACTTGTTTAATCATCACTTCCTGAGGATATGGACCCCATGTTCTTATCCCTCTCAGATAGCTCAGACCTTTGAACATGGGAAGTCTTTATTAATGAATAACTGTTGAATTAATGAACAAACAAAGGAATGAATGATTGTTTAACAGAGTCCGGCAAAATCAATTTTTAAATAAGCCTCTTTAATCACTGAATTTAATCTGGACCATAATAACAAGTAGTCCACACAACAAGTTTGCCATGTTACTTCATGTATCTCTAGCCAGTGAAATCTGAATAATAGTCTGAAAATCTCAGATTTGTTTTCTAGTACCATTTTGTGTTGATCTCTGTATGGCTAGCACCTAATGTAGTGCTTGATTTTTAGTACATACAAAAAATGCCTTCTAAAAGCTTTTGAAGAATTAGTAAAATGTTAGCTTTAATAATGTTTAGCAGCCAACTAAAACTTCTAGGTAACATCTTTACAACAATAGAAAAGGAATGCTGTCAATAGTAATGTATGCATATTCAAAATGGTGATAATAGACATAATGATAATAATGTTAATAATACATATAATAAAAGTAATAAACTTTTGTGAGTACTCACTTGGGGCCAGGTTTCATGCTTTCAGTAGAGTATCTCCTTTAATTCTTAGAGTAACTGTGGACTAATTTTATTGACAAGGAATTTGAGGCTCAGAGAAGTTAAATAACTTGACTTAAACCCATATAGCAAATTATTTAGCACAGAATTTAGACCCAGATTTCTCTAACTACAGGTCTCAGTATAGGTATCAATTCATTAGTTAGCTTAAACTGATCTTCAGAGTCAAAATTAGATGTCCATTGTGAACTGGTTTTTGTTTTATGTTTACATAGCCTTTTTCAAGTTATGTTTGACTGATGTTCAATATCCCTTATAGTTATTTTTTTAAAAGCAAGGGGAGCTCACAGCTTTATCCTTGCTAACTAGACCATGAAAATTAATATGTCATTAATAAATAATTTTTGAATGAATGAACTAACTAGTAAATTACCTAGGGATTTAGATGGAATTTAAATAAATGTTTTCTGAAAGTCTATGATCTAATCTGTAGCTGGATTCCCAAGGATGCAAAATGGGAAGAAAATGAAGGAAAGCTGCTTCTGCTGATTAAAATGCTTAGACTTAATATACTGATAAAAAATACAAATGTATTCTTGGGTTGTGTAGAAACATTCATAAGATTTCAAGAAGGATTTAGGATAGTAAACTTCACATGGAGAAACACTATTAAAATTCCTAAAGAAATTTAAAAACAAAGCTATTTTTGGTATGTAATTTTAGATTAGTTAACCATACCATTTTGAAAATAGGTAGAACATGGAATTATGCTTCCAAAACATGTGTGCGTGTATGGAAATTTTAAGGGGAATATTGTATAATACAGGCTTAATTTATGAACTTTCACCCCAAAATACAGAATGACTTCTTTTTTAGTTATGCAAAACATGTTGAAGTTAAATACTAGCATTTCTTTAATTTCTGTCAGATAATACTGTGAACATTATTATAAAATACTGATATAAAATCTTTAGAAATTAATTACTGAGCAGCCAACCAGTATACATTCCAAAAGATATTTGTTTTGGTCTGGATAAAGAATACTAATGAGTGGCTGAGTATGGTGGCTCATGTCTATAATCCTAGTACTTTGTGAGACCAAGGAGGGAAGTTTGCTTGAGCCCAGGCTTTCGAGACCAGCCAGGCCAACATAATGTGATATCATCTCTATACAATTTTTTTTTAATTACCCAGGAGATTGAGGCTGCAGTGAGCTGTGATAGTTTCACTGCCCTCCAACCTGGGCAACAGAGCAAGACCCTGTCTCAAAAAATAAAAATAAAAATCTAAAGTAAATAAATAAAGAATACCTATAAGATTTTAATACTTATATCCCTATACATATATGTAATATTCTATCAAAAGGAGATGAACTAATATTAGGCTGAAATAAAGCATTCTAACTCTGGAAGCCACATTGGCAATATTTCTTGGCAGCAACACCCAAATAATACTGAAATGCTCTTGTCAAGAATAAAGCAATATCTCAACTGTTATTTTATTTTCTATCCATCCCTATTTCAGAAAGAGTTGAGGTATATGATAAGAAAAATACAATGAAGTAATTGAGAAAGAACTGAATGTGTAGGAGACATACAATGGTAATTGCACCAGGATATGAGAGAGAAATTGTTAATGCAATTGGTAGTAGAGTTAATGTTTAGCTTCCCAGCTACAAGACTAAAAGAAAAACACAATTAAGTCTTATTTTCCAGTCATATGAAGCATATGAAAGCATCAGGAGAGCATTTTGATAGTGTAAACTCTGAGGATTAAATGTGATTTTGTAAAGCACTTAACATTAAGTATACTTAGCACATGGTAAATACCTATATAATGGTATGATAGTAATATATTTCTAACAACTTAAAAATTAAATAAGGAATTCATCCTGTGTATTTTGATATAAGGGTCATTGATCACAATAAAGGGTCACAGCTTTAACAACAAGTATGTAAAATATACCTACACAGCTTCATCTGGTTATTTCTTATACTGAACCTTAATATCAAATTAAGGACATAATATTTTATCATAATATTATGAATGCTTATTTTAAATATAGCAATTCAAAGTTACAGGGTTTTGGTGATTTACCTTGATAAAACACAGCACCTAAAGGTGGTGATATGGTTTGGCCATGTCCCCACCCAAATGGCATCTTGAATTGTAGCTCCCATAATTCTCACATGTGGTGGGAGGGACCTGGTGGGAGATAATTGAATCAAGAGGGGAGGTCATTTCCCTGTTGTTCTTATGACAGTGAATAAGCCTCATGAGATCTCATGGTTTTATAAAGGAGAGTTCCCCTGTACGTGCTGTCTTGCCTGCCACCATGTAAATCATGCCTTTGCTCCTCCTTCACCTTCTGTCATGACTGTGAGGCCTCCCATGCCATTTGAACTGTGAGTCAATTAAACCCCTTTCCTTTATAAATTACCCATTCTTAGGTATGTCTTTATTGGCAGCGTGAGAACAGACTAATACAGAATGTAATAGAATAATTTTCAGTGTGTATATTTCAAGGAAGATTTTTAGCAAATAATTTGAAATGAATTATATTGAGTGTTCAAAATAACGTTAAGTGGCTATCAGCCACATGCTTTGGCTAAGGTAGTATAATTCATATTTTATTAGAAAATGCTTGAAACTAATGTGTGTTCCCTCTAAAGTAGAGGGCCATGCATGTCTTCCTGCAATGGATAAAAACGTTTGCCACGTTGTATCTGTTGAAAGCCTTCACTCCATGAGATAGATAGGTTTTAGTCTTAGACATTCTTGAATTAATTTTTGTAGGTGTTGCAATAATCATCAGATATTAAGTAATAATCTAAATTTCATTATGAATTTTAATTTTAAGATATGTGTATACTTGGACAAAAAGTTTTGGGGAAGAATGATAGTAATACTTAGTGATTCTCAGGCTTTTATGGTACTACCATCTAATCAACTGTAATAATTGGTGTTTGTATAAAGGTAAAGGAACTATCAACAAGGTTATATTCTGATGTTTGAGCTAGCAAGTGCTACGGAATGTCTGCAGAGAGTAATTACATAGAGACAAGTGTCTTTATACTGCTAATGGAGCTCTCCTTTAGTGACACAGTTGTTGTGATCTTGGTTGATGTTGGAAGAACAAAAATATTTGTGCCACTAATCATTGTAACCCTTTTTGTTTTGGGGCCGAATAAGTTCTTAAAAATAGCAATAAACATACACATGTGCACGCATGTACTTTTTCTTCAGGACTATAGAGTTAACATCTTCCTGAGACAAAAATGGAATGACCCCAGGCTGAAGCTCCCCAGTGATTTTAGGGGTTCAGATGCACTGACAGTGGATCCAACAATGTACAAGTGTTTATGGAAACCTGATTTATTTTTTGCAAATGAAAAAAGTGCCAATTTTCATGATGTGACCCAGGAAAACATCCTCCTCTTTATTTTTCGTGATGGAGATGTCCTTGTCAGCATGAGGTACTCTTTTATATTTCATATTTGTGCATTTATATTTTCCTTCTAAAATCAATGGATGACAGAGAAGTATATTAAATTATTTCTAAGACCCATTTCTGCTTCCAGGTTATCTATTACTCTTTCATGCCCTTTGGACTTGACATTGTTTCCCATGGATACACAACGTTGCAAGATGCAACTGGAGAGCTGTACGTAAATGAGAACATAATTGATTATGAAAATAAAGTGTTTAAAATGTCTGGGTAATACATTCTACTGACATCTTAGACAACAGTGGTAAAACTAGTGCTTTGATTATAAATAGTCATTAAAATAATTTATTTAGGGAAATTATAGTTACTCTTTTATTAATACTATCTTAACTTGTATTAAGATAAATCATTTTTGTACTAGCCTTGTTTCAGTTCATTGATGTAGGTGTATACTTCTAACATTCCAGTTGCCATTGTTATTTGAGTTGGTAATACAGGCAAGGTAAAAGAGAAAATGACATCCTAATTTCAATAGCATTTCTGATGTTAAAACCAGATTTTCTTAGCAGAAAATTTGGAAAACATTGAAAAATATTCTGTAAATCCAACTGAGCATTCATTCTCTATGAAAGTAAAGAAATGTAAACAACTTTTTTACAAAATTGTATTTTTTATGTTTAATTGATCATATATTTTTCATTTATTAAAAGGTACCCTAGGTGTATTAATTGAAATTATTATTTATCTATACAATGTACTAATTAATTTCCCATGATGCTTATCTTTTGAAAATAAAAGTAGAACATAAACCTCAAAAAAAAAAACACAAATGCAAGGAATGTTTAGCCTGAATACATGGATCATCTTATAATAAGGTCGTCTATTTCTTCAGAGAGTAAAGAATAATTACCTGGCAAAACATCTTGCATATGTATTCTAGGTTATATGTCTAAAGTTACTTTGTGGTTGTTTTTTAAATAATGTACCGAAATGGATCCTAAATTTGAGCAGTATTTATTTCTTTCTAACTATAAAATGAGATTTTGCACATGTATGTGTTTATATGTTTGCACATGTCTGTTTATGTTTTTGTATGTATTGTATATGAGTGCCTGCATGTCAAGATGTACTTGTAGAAAACTTCCAACAGTGCATTTACATTTTGATCCCATTACTGGATGCACTAAAATATTACTTTCAAAAATACATACACTTTTGAGTTCGATACTAGACTAGTGTATGCTGTAAAATTCTTTAAATTGTAGCCACATACCTAAGCCCAAAATGTGTGTGCTTCAGGGTGCTGAAATGATGCTGTAATTATGTCCCTTTGAGGGATTATTTTATTGGCCTTCTATGGTGATGCAACTCCTTTAGGGAATTTTGCAGTGATCATAATGATGATGATGATTATTTTTTAAAACAGAGTCTTGCTCTGTCACCCAGGCTAGACTACAGTGGTGCGATCTCAGCTCACTGCAACCTCCACTTTGCGGGTTCAAGCAATTCTCCTGCCTCAGCCTCCTGAGTAGCTGAGATCACATGCGTCCACCACCGTGCCTGGCTAATTTATGTTTGTATTTTTAGTAGACATGGGGTTTCACTATATTGGCCAGGCTGGTCTCGAACTCCTGACCTCGTGATCCACCCGCCTTGGCCTCCCAAAGTGCTGGGATTACAGGTGTCAGCCACCGCACCAGGCCGATTTCTTAAAAGAAATTTAGATGTTTCAATGATTACATTTCTTTTAAAAATCCCAGGGAGCATATTACATGATTGTAAATGTATACGTTCAGAAAGCTTGCATCACTTATTTATTAGCTTTTTATTGATGACCATTAAAAACTAATTCTGACATAGAGAAATAAGTTATTGTATATGATGCCCTAGGATTTTAAATCTGTGCCGTATGCTTATTATTTAAACTTGTTCTTTCTTTAAGATGAATATCTTTAACTCTTGTACTAGTACTTCCATTAGTGACCATGGGTTTTACCTCTTTACATTTTAAACTACAATTTCATATAAGAAGGTCTTATTTTCTTTCCTTTGCTATGTTTAAGATTTGAATTATGAAAATATTTAAAAAGCATTATTAATTATATTTTAAACTAACATTTATTTGTTTTTGTTTATAGTTGGTTACACAACTGATGATTTACGATTTATCTGGCAGTCAGGAGATCCTGTGCAATTAGAAAAAATTGCCTTGCCTCAATTTGATATCAAAAAGGAAGATATTGAATATGGTAACTGTACAAAATACTATAAAGGCACGGGTAAGTAATATTCTTTAAATAAAACGAAGTTCTATTTCAAAGATACATTTTAATTAATACATAGCCAAGGGGAGAGTAGAAAAGAAGTGGCCAAAACTTAAAATTAAATTAGCAAATAGTTTATCTTTACATTCATATGTTTAAGTCTTTCACAGAATTGTATTCACTAGAGTTTTTTGAACTTTTAATTATTAGATAGACATGCTTGATTTTTCTTTATGTAATTCTTGTGGTGAGAGGTTTTTGTTTATGTTAGTAATGAAAACTCTCTCAGGTAGTGGTTTTCAGATGTTGTCAAGAAATTCTACTTCTGGCAGGATTCCACTTGGGGCTGAACATTTTAGATATAAACAATATAATCCATATATGTTCACCCATTGTCTTTTGGGTAGTTTTTAGATGGTGGTTGGCCCATATTCTTAATTTTAAAAAGCATTGATCCTTATGCTATGCAGGAAGCAATAAGAATGTGAAATAATTGGACATCAGTAAATATTCCCTGTACAGTCTTCTTGACCTAGGTCACAGAACAGCCAATTATGAAAAGGAAAACAAATTAACCTCATTCACTAAGTTGCATGGAGCTTTTGCAGAAAGTACAGTACTCACTACTCAATACTGTCATAATATGATTAGTGTTCAACCTTTTATTTTCTGCTAGTAGTTCTAGGTTAGTGAGGGTTTTAGATACTGAATATAGTGTTATTTCACTTAGCAATATAAAGAAGATTATTCAATTTTGATTATTATATTAGTAATAATAATCAGTTCAACATGTAAATTATTGCAGAATCCTAATTCTGCCTTTGGAAGTAAATCATAACAAAAATATTCAGAAATAGATATAATTAAAGCTTTATTGCAAAATGCATGTTGACTTGAAATAATAAAATATATATAGTATAATTGTGTAAAACTGAGAGAGATCAGATGTTTGTAGAATGCTGACAGAATGAGCTAGAATGCTGTCCTCATGATGTCATCAAGGCAACATATAATTTAAAACATTCCTGTTAATATTAAGAGGTGGAGAGAACATTTACATATTTACAATGCTGTGATAAAGACAATGCTAGGCAGCTTGGGGATACAGTTAAACATCTATTGTTGACTTCAAAATACATTAGCAAATGATATAACTTTAATATGTAAGCATTCCTTCTTAAAGCTTATAGTACATTAGGAAAACAGAGATAATAGTCGAATATATTGCTAAATAATTATGGAGGTTTTTAAAAGTAAAAAATGGAGAGCTATTAAAAATTTGACCATCAAAGTATTCAATGAAGAAGTCATAGATAATAAGATATGGAAGTGATCTAATTGATAATTCTGAGCCACTCCTTTATTTAACACATAAAATAACTGAAGAGCAGAGTGAATACATTACTTATTAAATTACTTATTACTGGTGACTTATTACTTATTAAATGTCACCAGGCAAATTACTGTCAGCCTTGGGACCAAGAGTAGTATTCCATCTCCCATTTGTACTTCAAATTAAGAAGATTATAGTTCTTAGAGATTTTTGAGACTGTCATATAAGAACACGTACTTAGTAGATAGGTTTTTGATCTCTCGCTATACTAGGCATTGTTTTTAGTTCTTTGCAGGAATTATTTAACTTAATCATCCCAACAATTCTATGAATTAAGTACTTTTATTATCCTCATTGTACACATTAGGCTAATGAAATAGACCCTTGCCCAAGGTCATACAGTTACAGTGATGCTGTGGGAGAGGGAGTCTGATACTGTTATACGATTAATACCTGTGGAGTCCTATTATAGTTTGAAAATTGTTACCCACATCCAGATTATATGCTTAACATTTCAAAAAGAGTAGTGTCTAAATTGTTTTGAGAAATTTGAAGGAGACTCTATTGGATTTTTTAATTTCTTAGAGATGAAAATGACACTAGCAATTTTATTTGTAATTTTATGTAATAGCATATGATTATATAATAGCTTTGAAAGTCCTAGGAGTGTTCATTTTTTCACTTTTAAGCTCTACATTAAAAAAAATCTCCATTTGGGGACTCAGTAGTGAATAAAAGAAAGGTCCCTGCCCTTTAGAGAGCCATATTTCAATGTGGTAAACAAGTAAACAACGTAAAATATAATTCATTTTAGTTCTTAGAATAAAATTAGAAGGTGTGCTATGGTATTTGGGTATGGAATTTGGGGGATTACTCAAGAGTTATAAGCATTTCTGGGAAATTTTTTGAGTCATAAATAATTCACTGAAATCTCATTAGCTACAGAAAATAACAACAAAACAACTTATGCCTAACAATATTTTTTGGCACTTAGTATGTTTCAGGGACTTGATCAGTACTTTTATGAATTATCATATGAATATAAGTAAAATATATTTTAATGTTTGGATAATTAGAAATCTAGTTAGAAAAATAAGACATTGAAAATACATGCAATAGTTAACAGCATAGAAAAATGGGAAAGTATAAATATATATATGAGCAATATATAAAAAGATAGCCAATATTTAGTTTGTATAGAAATAATAATGCAGCTTCAACTTTATTAAAATTATGCTTTTTTATGATTATAGAAGTAACAAAAGTGGAGAAATATGTGGGAAAGCAAGTATACAAAAATACTCAAATTGGAAGCCTGAGTGAATAATGGGATAAAACTTCACAGGAAATAGAAAGTAAATTGAATTTGCCCAATGAACATTTATATCAATTAGCTGCCCACCTGCCTCTCATAAATGTTAATAATACTAGGAAAAGATCAAAAAAAGATCAAGAAATGTTTCTCATAAAATTTTATGGAGCAAATCACTATAATATCCAAGCATGTATTTTACTGCTAAATGCATCCAAGTCTTGTGAAGCTCCCCTAGTGGGTACCTTCATAAAAGGGACACGATGGAAACTTGCTCCAAATTGCAGGACTCATGTGAATGGACTATCATTTAAACATAGTGGGATGGAATGGAAAATTTTATTTTAAACTATGCTACTTTGTAGTAAATCGTTATAATATTTGTGACAACTGAGACTACCTAAAAATATATAATTTGTTGAGAAACATTTCATATGCACTAGGTGAACAGAAAACTAATTTGACTTAGTGATACTATTACAAAGTCATGTACTTCAGAATCAGTTTTAGGAAATATTTTGAGCCTTCTCAATTGTAGCAATTGTACTTATGAAAGATTCTATTTTTGAAATATTGCACATGATTGTTAGTTAGAAACATATGTTCTTATTTGTCCAGGCAGAGAGTTAAGGGGAATGGTGGGAAAAGAAAAGAAAGGGAGATTTTTCATTGTTATGTTTTTTACATCCTTTGAAAACCTGTGAATGACTTGATATATTGCCTAATTTTAATTAAATTCAACTGTAAAAAAGAAACACTTGCATTTCTTGTCTTTAATATAATATGGAAGCATTTGGCATAAATAGAATTTGCTTCAGTCGAAAGCAACTATTTTTGTTACATATTAGCTCTACTGTCTGTGTAACCTCTCAGAGGTGGCAATGATTCTAAATCACATTGGGAAAAGGAAAGATTTCTAATCTATTTGTTGAGGATATAAATAGCCATTCTTTTATTTCATGTTTATTAAGGTCCTATTCTGTGCAAGTACTGCTGTAGGTGCTATTAATGAATAAATATGTAGATTATTCTTGTGTTAGATATATGTATATTCTTCCCAGTTAGGAAGACCAGGTAAATATTGTTTTTAAACTGTAAAATAGGAAAAAGTAACATTATTCTTTCCCCCATAATTGTTTCATTTATTTATTGTTCATTAATTTGTTTCACCATTTTAAAAAAATTATATAGAGTTTAAACAGAAAACGATTATAGATATTTTATTTTGCTATTTATGCACAATCTTACATTTGTAAAATGGCAAATGACATTCTTCTCTAAATTAAGCACTTTCGGCATTATATATTATATTTAAATAGTTAACTGAAAAGAGCAAACATTTAAGAAATAATCTCGAACATCTGGAAATACCTTTTCTATTTGAATGCAGTACTGTGAGCATATTCGTGTTACTATTTTCTTTCTCAAGGCGGCAAAGGCTATTGTGAGGCTGCCTGTAATTGGTGATTAATTTGGGGGACTAGTTGATGTCATGGCCACTCTAGAATTAGGTTGTAAAACAATTTCTGCATTTGTCTTGGCATGTGAAAATGAAAGTTATTTCCTTCAGTTGGAGTACCTTTGAGAGCCTGAAGTAGAGGTGGGCAAAGAATTGAGAGGAATATCCGATGTTTGCACCATATACATCTTTTATGTATATGGATTGAAAACACTGGTTTCCTATACTTGCTAATGTTTACTTCCAATACTTTCTTAATTTTTAAGGTTTATCTATATATGAGAGTCAGTGTATACTGCCATCCATCCTAGATAAGAAGTGGTACATATGGCTGAAAAATTATACTGATAATGTGTAGTCCCGGAGTGTTTCTTTTTAAGATTTGTTCTACTTTGATTTACTACTGCCTGTATGACTCCTTTAGATCATTGCCCTGAGAGGACCCACGGGTAAAGAAAAGTTCAACTCTATTGCCAATTCTCTGAACAATGACCTAAAAGGCTAGACACTGACACAGTAGAGCAGCATGTGGGATCTATTTCTCAATGTCATAATGAAGTTGCGAAAGGTCAGCTGAAACTGGTTCCATAATGTCACCCTTTTAGATCACATAAATTATATATCTGCAAAGAAAAACTTTTTTTTGAGGCATTTCCTCTGTGAAATTGCCTCAGATGGAAGTGACTTACCGTTTCCAGGTCTGTCATTGATGTTTGCCATTCTGTGTGGGTGAAAACCTCATGCCTTGAATGTGTTTGCTTCTGAAAGGCTACTACACATGCGTGGAAGTCATCTTCACCCTGAGGAGGCAGGTCGGCTTTTACATGATGGGGGTCTACGCCCCAACTCTGCTCATTGTTGTTCTCTCCTGGCTTTCCTTCTGGATCAACCCGGACGCGAGTGCTGCCAGAGTGCCCCTGGGTAAGGTGTTCCATGCTTTTTTGTCACATCAGGAACAGATTATATCTTTATCTAACTTACCATATAATCAACTACTTTGAAACAATGAGTTTTAGAATTGTTAGCCACCAATTTCGGTGTTTAAAGACTTTCTTCAAAACTTGATATTGAACTAGATTTTCTCAATGTTTATGCACTCTATAATTAAGCTAAGTTTCTCTTTTCATGTCCTTGGAGTATTATAAGCAGTTAATCTATTTTTCTGTCATGAAATAATTATTTATAAGTGATTTTCACGGATAACTATGTCTAAAACCTTCGGTAGTGCCAAACTTAAAAATGAATAACTATTTCGAAGGAAGTCTTTCTGAAAAATAGTATGTATTATCACATACTCTTAGGGAATAGTAATCTAATTTACTTTTTAAAAATTACGAAAAATTATGTAACCATCATTTTCCCAACCATTGGTTATTGTGTGCTATATCAGGGCTGGTTGCCTGTCCCTTGAGGGCCATTGCTCTCCAGTTTATTTTTAATGCTTTGTGACATAGAAATACCACCAGCCAGTCTTTTGAAAATTGTGTCTGTATAATGGCTAAAAAGCCTTTGCTTAAGGAAATAAGCAAGCGCCCTTCCTATGGATAAATTGAATAAACTTCAAAATATGTACATTGCATCAACAAATTTTGGTTGGTTGGAGTGTTTCAAAATTTTTTATTACTGTGTGTCTGTGTGTTTTCTGAATATCACCTGGAACTCACACTGGTAAGACTGTGAACTGTCTGACCTCCTCAGTGAGTATGTAGTTGCTACATTTAAATTTTCTTCCATCGAAAAGGCCTTGTGCAAATCTCTCTCCTGACTTACTGGAGGAATTAAATGAAATACAGATTTTAAAGAGTAGGAAGCTAGGAAAGAAGCCATGAAAATGGCAATGTCATCTGAAGAAGAAATTTGTTTTTTTTACATCTAATTGAAATCACACAGACCAAATTTATAACCAAAAATGTGAGAAATTTCATCATGGATAAAAACTATGTATTATTACATGTATTATATTTACTGGGAAAATAACCAAAAAAACCTGAATTTAAATTCTTAGACTTGTCAAAAATATATATTTCTCTCAAATAATTTTTGTTGTTGTTATTCATTAGAAGTTTCTTATGTTCATGCAGTGATATAAATGTCAGGCTTCCAAGACTACTTTGGAGACAACTCAATTTCTGACATATCCTTTAAGAATTTTTCATCTCCATTCATTGCAGGACTTCTGATACCAGGTTCCTGAGCTGTGACTTGATATCCAGGCTGAAAGTTCAATGGCTGAAAGTCAGTCTCTAGAGTTAACTTGGGTTTGAAAGCCAGTTCTGGATTTACTAGCTGTGACAAGTTGGACAACAGATTTAACTTCTTTAAAAATAACTCTGCTGAAATGTCAATAGGGATGATAAAAATACCCAAGAAGCTCCAGGGAGTATTAAGAAAATGAGTGAAAGCCTATATTACACATTCAGGAGTTAATAATGAGCTACATTTTTATATTGCTTTACAGTTTGCAAAGCAGTTCTACATATTTTGATTCCTTCAACAAGTATTTGTTTTGTGTTATGTGTTAGGTACTATTAAAAAAGATGGGGATGTTGTTAACAAAATAAATAGCTAATAAATAGTTAATAAAATGCATTAAAACACTTCTTAGCTTCAATGAGTATATATGTTATTGGGAAGAAACAGGCACCAAATAAATATAATATATCATATGTAAGATAGTGATGTAAGATAGCAAGTTTGGAGGTAGCAAACTGCTTGTTAGAAAGGCCACAGTGAGAGGGTAATACTGGATAGAGACAAGAAGGAGGTGAAGAAATGAGTCATTTCTAGGACAGAGTGGGCCAGACAGTGATCATCTGGGCTGCATTCCTGAGGCAGGAGCATGCTTGGACATTGGGGGAACAAGGAGGCCACTGTGGCTGGAGCAGAACAAGTCAAAGGGAGAGTAGTGGGAAAGGAGGTCAGAAAGATAACAGCGATGAGGGGTGGACTATGTAGCATCTGCTGAAAAATCCTGATGATTTTGAGCTTTTTTTTTTTTGATGGAGTCTTGCTCTGTTGCCCAGGCTGGAGTACAATGGCATGATCTTGGCTCACTGCAGCCTCCACCTCCCAGGTTCAAGTGATTCTCCTGCCTCAGCCTCCCGAATAGCTGGGATTACAGGCACCCACCACCATGCCCAGCTAATTTTTGTATTTTTAGTAGAGACAGGGTTTCACCATGTCAGCCAGGCTGATATCGAACTGCTGACCCCGTGATCTGCCCGCCTCGACCTCCCAAAGTGCTGGGATTACAGGCGTGAGCCACTGCACCGGGCCGATTTTAGTTTTTATTCAGCATGAAATACAAAGTCGCTAAAGGCTTTTACACATGATCTGACTTAAATTTTAACCAGATCTCTTTGCTTACTTTGTTGAGAACAGAATGACCTCGGGCAAGAGCAGAAGCAAGGAAAGCAGTTAGGAGACAATTGCAATAATTCAGGTAAATATTTGGTCTAGTGAGTAGTAGTGCAGGTGCTGATAAATATTTGATGATGGGGCTGAGAGCAGTGGCTCACCCCTGTAATCCCAGCACTTTGGGAGGCAAAGGTGGGCAAATCACCTGAGGTCAGGAGTTGGAGACCAGCCTTGCCAACATGGTAAAACCCCGTCTCTACCAAAAATGCAAAAAATTAGCCAGGCATGGTGGTGGACACCTGTAACCCCAGTTACTCGGGAGGCTGAGGACTGAGAAATTGCTTGAACCTGGGTCTCAGAGGTTGCAATGAGCTGAGATTGCACTACTGCACTCCAGCCTGGGCAACAGAGTGAGACTCCATCCCCCACCTCCCCCCGCAAAAAAAAAAATTAGATGATGGGTGGTAGTGAAGGTTGAGATAAAAGGTATTTGTAGGTATCTTGAATGTGAGATTAAAGAAAGTAGAATCAGGGTTAACTTCAAGATTATTTTGGATGAAAAACTAGAAATATGAAATTGACCTTAGCCGAGATGGGCAAAGGTGCAAGTAAATACAGTGGCTTTGAGAAGATGGGCAGGCCAGGAGCTTTGCTTTAGACACGTTAAGGTTCCAATGTCAGTTAGGTGGAGATATCAGATAGGCAGTTGGATATGCAAGTCTGGGTTTAATTGGAAATTTCAAAACTGGAGTAGGAATTTAAACTTTGTCAAAATATAGTTGGTTTTCAATCTCTGGTTGGAATCACAGGGGAGTGAGCGTAAGCAGAGAAATCTAAGAGGGACTGAGAAAATGAGGAACAACCAGTATGATGCAGTTTCCTAAAAGTCAAGTGAACAAAGTATTTCTAGGTCAAGAAAGTGACCAACCAACTGTTCATGGATCAATGACTTTTAGAGCTAAAGATTACCATTAGACTAAAGGAGCTGGGGAGGTCATTGGTGTCCATGGACAGTTTCTTTGAAGTGAGAAGAAGAAAGCCTGATTGGACTGGCTTCAGGAAAGAAGATGAGGGGGGGATTGGAGATATTTAGTATACATAACTCATTGGAGGTTGTTAACTATAAAAAGAAAAAGAATAAGAAAATAGCTAGGGTAAGAATAAAAGTCAAGAAAGTGTTTTTCATTTTTTAAAGGTAGATGAATTCATAGTATGTTTAGTTTGTTTTTGATGAAGGACAACCAGTAGTGAAGGAAAAACTGAGAGATGGAAAAAGTGCAGGAGCAGTGACCTTGAGAAAGGAAGAGGGGATGAGATCCAGGAAATGGAGATATTGCCCTTTGCTAGGAGCAAAATGCATTTGCCCCAAAGGTAAGCAAACTCCTGTAGAAGGCCAGAGAGTAGAATCAGGGTTGACTTCAACAAAGTCAATGAACCTTCATTTGAGGTTTGTGGGCCATATGCTTTCTGTCATTCCGTTAAACTCTGCTCTTACCTGTTCTATGGTAAAGCAGCCATAGACAATATATAACTGAACGAGTATGGATGTGTTAAACAAAACTTTATTTATAAAATAGATGGGTCAGATTGGCCTACAGGTCATAGTTTGCTGATCCCTGGTCCATAGTATCAGAAGAGAAGGCAGAGTATATGGACACAAAGGGAGGTAGATGGGTAGATATTTAAACAGTTGTGTGGGCTACCTCCTCTTATTTGGTGAATTATACCAATTGATTTCTAGATGTTAGATGAGTTGTGAATTACTAGAACAAAAAGTGTTCGTAGTACTCCCTTTTCCTTTTAATGTTAGGCTGTAGTAGTAATGTTCCATCTTTCATTCCTGATATTATTAAATAGTGAATTTTCTGTTTATTTTCTTGATCACTCAAGCTAAAGGATTTTTTATTTTATCGATATTTTCAAAGCACCAGCTTTTATCTCATTAATTTTCTCTATTTGTTTATTTTCCTTTTTATTGATTTTTAGCTATGTTTATTATTTCCTTTCTACTTACTTTGCATTTAATTTGATCTCTTTGTAATTGCTGAAAGTAGGACTCAGACAATTGGTTTTAGATCTTTCTCCTTTTCTAACATGAACATTTACAGTTGTAAATTTCTCTGTAAGCATTGCTTTAACTTCAGTACACAAATTTTGGTATATTGTATTTTCATCTTTCAGTTGAAATATTTCATAACTTATCTTTGATTTCTTCTTTGGCCCATGGATTCTTTAGAAATGTAGAGTTTTTTATGGGTACCTGAATATGATTGCTTTCTAACTTAATTCCATCTTTGTCAGAGAATATACTCACGGATTTCAATTCTTTTATGTGTGTTGAGATTTTTTTTAAACAGCCCATTCTAGCATATGCCTCCTGGTAAACACCATGTGCACGTGCAGTGTGTATTAGTCATTGTTTGTTGTGTTCTGTAAGTATCATTACCGTCAAGTTGGTTAGTAGCTCTGTTGAAATCTTTTATCTCTTTTGTGTGGTTATTGTTATTGGTGAGAGATGTTAAGATCTCCAATTATAATTATGGAATTACGCTGCAGGTATTTGGAAGGTCTGTTATTAGACCCTAAATTATAATTTTATCTAAAAAGAAAAGGAAATAATACTGACTCAGACTAAATTTCAGGATATCCAGTTAATATAGCTGTTTTGATTCTGCATATCTTTCCTTACTCTACTATTTTTCCCCTACATTCTCCCAAAGGATTAAATAAATAAGTTTACCAGTCTCTTTTGTTATGGCCTGTAGTTTTTATGTTCTAAAAGTTAGCAGACAACATAGAGCATAAAGTAATTACTTTAAATTGCCCTAGATTCATTTTGCTTTTTTAAAAAATTAGTTTTGTATTCTACTTTTATTTTTCACCCAGCCTTTTTGTGATTAACTTTCCCCATTGTTAACAAATATCAAAGATTCCCTGGAGAATTTTAGGTAAGGACTTTTGTCTTAAGCTATTTCGCCAAGTATGGAAGGAACTATGCACAGAACTATTGAAGTAACGTTTTGTAATACTCTTAACTAAGTAAACTATACTGTATCTTTTTCTGTTACACAAAATACTTTAGTTTCTGCTAAAGGGAATACTTTTTTTAACAAATAACTTTCAATTATAAATGCAAAAAGATTAATAATTTGGGTCAAAGTTCCCTTTCCTTTTAGTATTCTTTAACTAAAAATTATGAAATGATAATATGCTAATATAATTTATTAATAGTAGTACTTTTAAATGAATTTTCATTTTATTAACAACAATTTCAAATGTACAAATTTGGTGATTATCACAGTATGAGATAAATTATTTGGAGTTGAGACAGGAGTTGGCATGTGTGCACTTGCAATTGCTCCTTGACCTGCTCTGTTGATTCATGGCATTGGTTATTAATAGCAAATGCCATACTGTCTCTGCCTTCCATTTCTTTTCTTTTCCTTTCTTTCTTCCTCTCTTTTCTTTCCTTATTTTTTCTTCTCTTTTCTTTTTCTAGTTTTCAATTTTTCTCTTTTCACCAATACATTCCTAGTATATATGCTGTTAGGGAATTATTTTGCGGATTCTTCCTCTGTGATTGGATGGACAAGAAATCTGTGGACATTCCATAGACAATCATAGAGGTTACTGTATATATCTTGAAAAATTGAGATGATTTTGTCATTATACAATTCTGTCTCCATGTTGATGAGCTAAATAACTTCAACCCTGACTTGTTTATGGAAGATTTTGCTCACTTCAACCTCCTTATATAGCTTATTTGATATATGCTATATAAGGCTATATTATGATAATGCTAAAGTATTTTTACAAAGTAGCATTATTTGCTCAGATTTCTTATTTTTAGCTAGAAAATGCTAATAGGTGTTTTCTATTATAATACGATTTTCCAAAGATAAGGCACATAGTGTGTGTTCACTTTCTTCTTCTTAACTTCTTCAACTTTCCTTCTTATATCTGATATGATAAAAGTCTTGAATTCACTACCATTGTTTCTAACCGAATGTGTGGAATTATGAATACTCCCCTTTTCCCTCCAAAATCTATAAATATTCTGTCACACCTTTTAAAGACAATCCTTTCATCTGTTTCTTCAATCAGTCCCCCTTTTCTGACACCAAAACATCTTTACCTCACAAAGTCCTCTCTCTTTTCAGACATCTATTTGAATGATATTGGCTAATCTTTTCAAAAAGTTCTTTCAGATTCTCAGGTGCAATGTGCTGTGTCATGATCATCGGTTCTTTGTTCCTTGGCCTTTATCTAATCTTTCAATGTTTTCCTGACAAAGTCATCTTCTTTTCTATAGGCCCCTTCCCCATCTTTTTTACGGAAATTCTTCCAGTCATCCTGTTCATAACTTTGTCTCAATTTTTTCCTTCTTCCTTGAATCAGTAACTGTTTTCAAATGTTTTCTCTGCTTTTTTTCACATCTGTCCTATCATAACGTAGGCCTTCATTTCCTTATACTTTGTTTCCCCAACTACTAATTTTCTTTCTCAGTCTATTTTGTATATCCACACCAAAGTAATGCTACTTAAGTATTCTTTTGATAATGTAATTTCTCTTTCCTTAATTCCAAATTTCTGAATATTCTCTACCAAACATGGTATAAAAAGCCACTACAGAACTCTGAAGGCCTTCTATAATCTGAAATTATTCTCTATTTCATCATAAAGTTTCTAATCTATCAGGATAAATATTCAGGTATACAGCTAAGCTTACTAAAATTTAATATCTTCTAGGTTATTAATCAGCATGAAATACTATGGAAACAGAGAGGATAGTGTCAAAATAGTTTATCTCAAGGAAATAAGTTAGGCTTGTTTTTGATTGGTAATTTGACTCACAAAATTTGGCAAAGAATAGAAAAATTAACTTAGAATGACAGTTTGCCAAGTTAATTCCCATGGCTATAATCAACTGTAGTTTAGGGCAGTAATTGATAAGGTCTTGGATTTTTATGTTACTTTCCACTTTTGACCACAGTTTGATTGCACTGTGGTCTGAGAGACAGTTAATGTAAGACCTACATTAACTTTTAAAATACAATTCTCTTAATTAGTTTTTAGTTTTCCTTAGGGCCGAGGATAATTATTGTAAAAGTAAACTAGGAGCTTATCAAGTTGTTATATATTGAATATTGTTTTCATCTGCAGAAGTTATATTTGCTTAACGTGTTTCCTTCTAATAGAGAGTATCTTAGGTTCTTGAATGCAAAAAACACTTTTCAGAAGCTTCTGAAATGATGCAATTGATATATTTTTCAATGTTTAACTGATTATTAATACTAATATAGTGTTTGTAATTTCATGGGAAGGGAAAAGAGAGCCAAGTAGACATTTAATTATTATGGTGATATATATACATTAATTCTCATAAGTGGCCAAATCTAAGAAGAAAAAATTATACTCAACCCAGTATGTGAGATGGACTCACAGAGCCAAGTCAGATCTGTTTTCTATTTCAAGTAAAGTGAGTCTCCCTTGACACTGAATGAGGTTCCTTTTCTGACTCAGCATGTTCCTGGTAGCCCATGCCAATAGGTTATAGCTATAAAATATATTTCATCATCTTCTCTCTTGAAAATACGAAGGAAAGGAAAAAGAGAGAGGAATGGCAGGGAGAGTGGCAATTGGGAAGAGAAAGAGAGCAATAAATTATTGCAATTCTTCTTTGGAGTCTGACAATTACTTGACTTAAATTAGTGTATAATGTGTTAGCTTTCATTGAAGGGTTACCATTACATGGAGCAGACCTTCATACCTTTCTTTGGAAATCTGGAATCATATGTTCTCCCTAAACAGGAATATTTCCTGCTGTGTCTTTTCTATTAGTTTTTTTTATTATGAACCTTATCAAAACATTGCTTTATATGTTCTGTTCTTGCTCTGATTTAGTTGCTCATGGGGACAAAACTCAGCTCTATAACTGAAATCTTTCTCAAACAAAGCTGAAAAATAACATACATAATCTGTCTCATAAGAGAGCTCTGTGGCTTCCTCAGAGATACTATACAATAGTTTTAGCCATCTTTAATATTGAAAACAGGTCCAAATTATATTTTTATACCCTGGTTTAAATTTCTATTTATTTTTTAAAATCCTAAGTATTTACAAAATCCTCAACCATAGTCAATAGTCCTTACAGAAAAGGCATGTACCTATTATTTATTCTAGTCTTTGAGCTTTAAGGGGACCTGACAAATTGTTCATGGGTCATTGGAAGTTACTGGAGACGGATTTAGTCAAAGAGTAATGACCCCAGAACATCTCATAGGGATAAAAAGCAACTTTCATTCCTCTTTCTGTTTCTGTAGGTATCTTCTCAGTCCTCAGCTTGGCCTCTGAGTGCACAACCCTTGCCGCTGAGCTTCCCAAAGTTTCCTATGTGAAGGCTCTTGATGTTTGGCTTATTGCTTGCCTTCTCTTTGGGTTTGCTTCCCTGGTGGAGTATGCAGTTGTCCAGGTGATGCTGAACAACCCCAAAAGGGTTGAAGCTGAAAAAGCCAGAATTGCTAAGGCTGAGCAAGCAGATGGAAAAGGTGGAAATGTGGCTAAAAAGAATACTGTGAATGGAACAGGGACTCCTGTTCATATTAGCACTTTGCAGGTAAGGATAAAATTATGCCATGAAATCATTTCCCCCAACCACTTCATAGTGTCAAGAGAGAGACACCTTTGTGTATGTGACAAGTTTTGATGGAATTGGCATTTGCTTGTTTTTCTCTCACAGATGAAAACAAACTGAGCACAACACAATTTTTGGGAAACGTGCTTTTTAGAAAACATTCAGAACGTTTAGGTCGAATACCACTTAAGGAAAAAAGTAATGCCTTATTAAATTTTTTGAGGACTTTGCACTGAGTTTAAGGATTCAACTCTGCTTTGATGGTCACCATTGAATTTGGAGACCTTGCTGGATGGAGCACAGACCTTCCTATTGTTTCTCATTCAATGTATCTTAATGAAAGGCCCGAGGACTGTGGGGCATCACTGATCATCTGCCTTACATAAAAAGGCTTGGAGAAGCCCATGCTCATGATTAAATCACCCACCATTCCCCATTACATTAGAGAGCTTCACATGGAGCATGTCAGGCAGGCTACTTGTTTATTGGATGTCTGGCTCAGGGAAACGATGCCTGCAGTTAGGAATCTGTCCCTCCCAGCAGTGAGTGGCAGGAGAAGGAATATTTAAGATTTTACCCCATAACCCTGCCTTGTCAATTAATTATGGGTTTAAGAATAGTGGGCAATGGTAAATTTCAACGTGCCAGGCTGTGTAAAGGATTGAGGTTAGCTGTCCATTTACCCCAATGTGCCCCTCATTGATGCCTTCTGGATGGGTGGACCAGTCAACCAGAAGACCATTTCCATTGAGCTAAGAGCAGTAAATTCCACAGAAGACCAATAGGTCCATTCCATCCTACAACCTTGAAAATCTTACCTTCCGTGCTTTTCCTCTGGTCCCACAATTGCTCTATCAGTTTGTTAATCACCACTAGTCCCCTCACCTAGAATGCTAGACTAGTATACCGCATGCGGTTCTTAGATGCAGAAGCAAAGGAACCATGCTTGTATGGTGCTGCCTGTGGCCTTTAAAAAATGGTTTAAGTCATTTATACTCATTTTCTGAGCCTAAAGCCAAGACCCTCTGCAAATACTTAGCTGAAACCTTCAGGGAGGCTTCTTGAGGCCTTAGAACTCTTTTCTGCCTTTCATGAAGAATAAGGATAAAATTTGCATTAATCCAGCACTATCTTGGCCTTAAAGATGTCCTTAATATATCTTTTTCATACTTCTACATCCATTATTTCTATATCATTATATTTGAAGTGAGTTTCTTGTAGACAACATATAGTTGGTGTTTGGTATTTAAACTGCTCTGCCATTCTCTTATGTTTGAATTGGTATATTTAGATCACTTCCATTTAACGTAATTATTGATATAGTAAGGTTTTCTCTATGTTTTATTTTTCTTTGTTTTGTTTATTTTGGTTTTTGTTTCTCTATCTTCTTTTTCCTTTTTTTTTTTTTTTTTTTTTGAGATGGAGTTTCACTCTTGTTGCCCAGGCTGGAGTGCAATGGCGTGATCTCGGCTCACCGCAACATCTGCCTCTCAGGTTCAAACGATTCTCCTGCCTCAGCCTCCCGAGTAACTGGGATTACAGGCACCTGCCACCATGTCTGGCTAATTTTGTATTTTCAGTAGAGATGGGGTTTCTTCATGTTGGTCAGGTTGGTCTTGAACTCCTGACCTCAGGTGATCCGCCCACATTGGCCTCCCAAAGTGCTGGGATTACAGGCATGAGCCACTGCACTTGGCCCTCTTTTTCCTTTTTTAATGTGGGTTACTTGAACATTTTTTTAGAATTTCATTTTGAGCTTTCTATGTTGTTTTTAAGTGTATCTCTTTGTTTAACTTCTTTAGTGGTTGGTCTGGATAAGTTATGCATGCATAACATCACGATCTACTAGTGTCATTATTTTGCTAGCTTTTGTGATGTTTAAAAATGTTACCTCTCTTTCATCCCTTAAGCTGATGTTTATAATTGTCTTAAATACTTCTGCATACATTTAGAGCCACATTATAGTTTTTGCATCACCATCAAATATAATTTAGAAAACTCAAGGAGAAGAAAATGTTATTGTATATTTTTGCTATGTTTTTCTTTCATCTTCATATATTCCAAGGTTATATCTCTTTTATTATTTTCTGTTTAGAGAATTTCCTTGTTTTTTGTTTTTGAGGCAGAGTCTCACTCTGTCACCCAGGCTGGGGTGCAGTGGTGTGATCTCAGCTCATGCAACCTCCACCTCCTGGATTCAAGCAATCCTCCCACCTAAGCCTCCCAATTAGTTAGGACCACAGGTGTGTGCCACACCACACTTGGCTAAGTTTTATATTTTTAGTAGAGACAGGGTTTCCTCATGTTGGCCAGACTGGTCTCAAATTCCTGGCCTCAAGTGATCCACCTGCTTCAGCCTCCCAAAAGTGCTGGGAATACAGGCATGAACCACCATGCCTTTTCGGGAATTTCCTTTACCCATTTTTGGATAGGTCTGCAGGTGACACATTTTTTTCACTTTCCCTTTATCTGAGAATGTCTTGATTTCTCCTTCATTGTTGAAGGATATTTTCTCTAGATGTAGGATTGTAAGGTTACAATTCTATATGCATTTCTTTTAGCGCCTAAAAAGTATTGTGTTCACTTCCTTCTGGCCTCCATGGCTTCTGATGAAAACTAATTGTTCTAATTGCTTTTCCTCTGTAGGTAAAGTGTCACTTATCTCTGGATGCTTTCAAAAAGTTGTTTGGTCTTTTGGTCGAGTAGTGATCAGAAGTTTAATTATGACATGTCTCTGTGTGGATTTCTTTGAGTTGATCTTGTTTGGGATTTTTCTCAGCTTGTTGAAAATATAGATGTATGTTTCTTGCCAAATTTGGAGTTTTCAGCTATTATTTCTTTGTGTACTTTTCCTGCCTTGCCCTCTCTCTTCTCTTTTCAAGACTGCGATAACACAAATGCTAGATTTGTGATAGAATTGTCCCTGGGTACTGTAGGAGACTGGTTTTAGGACTCTTATCAGATACCAAGGTCTGCTAATGCTCAAGTCCCTTGTATAAAATGTGAAACTTGGACATTTATTAATTTTGCTTATGATTGCTTTGGCTATTCAGGCTCTTTTTTAGTTCCGTATGAGTTTTAGGATTGTTTTCTCTAATTCTGTGAAAAATGATGTTGGTGTTTTGATAGAAATTACATTGAATCTATAGATTGCTTTGGGCAGTATGGTCATTTTCATGATATTGATTATTCCAATCCATGAGTATGGGATGTGTTTCCATTTGTTTGTTTAAGGTTATTCTAATTTTTTTGCTGCTTTGTAAGAGAAATTGAGTTCTTAATTTGATTCTCAACTTGGTCATTGTTGGTGTATAGCAGTACTACTGATTTGTGTACATTGATTTTGTAACTTTTGTACATTGATTTTGTAGACTTTACTGAATTCGTTTATCAAATCTAGGAGTCTTTTGGAGGAGTCTCTAGGGCTTTCTAGGTACACAGTCACATCATTGTTGAACAGCAATAATCTGACTTCCTCTTTTCTAATTCAGACGCCCTTTATTTCTTTCTCTTACCTGGTTGCCCTGGCTGGGACTTCTTGGACAATGTCTTCTGTTATCTGCCAGTACACTGATTTTTTTCCTCTGCCCTTTACATTTTCCTGTTGATCTAATCTATGAGTTTTACAGTTTCCATTTGGTATGTGTGTATTTTTTTCATTTGTTCCAATCATGTTCATAATTGGTCACTGAATAATTTTTATCATGAATGTTGTAATATCTTTCTCAGATTTCTCAGAATTCTCAGATTGTTGTTGCACAGTTTGAAATCTTTTGTTATACAGTTTGAGATCTTTCCCAGTTTTTTGTATGATGAGTGATTTTGTATTGAAACTTGGACATTTTGATATTATATTATGAGACTCCAAATCGTGTTTAAGCCTTCTGTTTTAACTTGCTTTCTCTGGCTCTGTTCTGTCAGGGGAAGGATGAGTGCTGCTTCATTACTTCCAAGCGGAGGTACAAGTCCAGGTTTCCCACTTCGTCAGGGTAGAGCTCCTTGATACTGCTGGGCGAGATTGGGGGTCACCAGTTCCCCATGTTGTCTCTACCAACACAGCAGCAGGGGTTGCCTTCCTGACCAATTGGTGTTGGTGAAAGTCCTGACCCTCCAGGGCCCCCTGTGACATCACCTCAGCGTGGAAGAGGAGGAGCCTCTTGTTACTGCTGGGTGTAGGTTTAAGTCCATACTCCCTACATAGTTTCCACAGACACTATGGCAGGGATCAGGGCCTTGTTACTGGTCTACAGTGATGGAAGTCCTCAATCACCACTTGACACTATACTTCAGTGTGGATCGGGCTGCCTCGTCACAGACTTTTAATTATTACACTTTAAATTCTAGGGTACATGTGCACAATGTGCAGGTTTGTTACATATGTATACATGTGCCATGTTGGTGTGCTGCACCCCTTAACTCATCATTTACATTAGGTAGATCTCCTAATGCTATCCCTCCCCGCTCCCCCCACCCCACGACAGGCCCTGGTGTGTGACATTCCCTACCCTGTGTCCAAGTGATCTCATTGTTCAATTCCCACCTATGAGTGAGAACATGCTGTGTTTGGTGTTCTGTCTTTGCGATAGTTTGCTCAGAATGATTGTTTCCAGCTTCATCCGTGTCCCTACATAGGACATGAACTCATCCTTTTTATGGCTGCATAGTATTCCATGGTGTATGTGTGCCACATTTTCTTAATCCAGTCTATCATTGATGGACATATGGGTTGGTTCCAAGTCTTTGCTAATGTGAATAGTGCCGCAATAAACATATGTGTGCATGTGTCTTTATAGCAACATGATTTATAATCCTTTAGATATATGCCCAGTAATGAGATGGCTGGGTCAAATGGCATTTCTAGTTCTAGATCCTTGAGGAATTGCCACACTGTCTTCTACAATGGTTGAAATAGTTACAGTCCCACCAACAGTGTAAAAGCATTCCTATTTCTCCACATCCTCTCCAGCACCTGTTGTTTCCTGACTTTAATGATCACCATTCTAACTGGTGTGAAATGGTATCTCATTTTGGTTTTGATTTGCATTTCTCTGATGATCAGTTATGATGAGCATTTTTTCATGTGTCTGTTGGCTGCATAAATGTCTTCTTTTAAGAAGTGTCTGTTCATATCCTTTGCCCACTTTTTGATGGGTTTTTTTTTCTTGTAAATTTGTTTAAGTTCTTTGTAGATCCCGGATATTAGCCCTTTGTCAGATGGGTAGATTGTAAAAATTTTCTCCCATTCTGTAGGTTGCCTGTTCACTCTGATGGTGGTTTCTTTTGCTGTGCAGAAGCTCTTTAGTTTAATTAGATCCCATTTGTCAATTTTGGCTTTTGTTGCCATTGCTTTTGGCGTTTTAGTCATGAAGTCCTTGCTCGTGCCTATGTCCTGAATGGTATTGCCTAGGTTTTCTTCTAGAGTTTTTATGATTTTAGGTCTAACATTTAAGTCTTTAATCCATCTTGAATTAATTTTTGTATAAGGTGTAAGGAAGGGATCCAGTTTCAGCTTTCCACATGTGGCTAGCCAGTTTTCCCAGCACCATTTATTAAATAGAGATTCATTTCCTTATTTCTTGTTTTTGTCAGGTTTGTCAAAGATCAGATGGTTGTAGATGTGTGGTATTATTTCCAAGGGCTCTATTCTGTTCTGTTGGTCTATATCTCTGTTTTGGTACCAGTACCATGCTGTTTTGGTTACTGTAGCCTTGTAGTAGAGTTTAAAGTCAGGTAGCGTGATGCCTCCAGCTTTGTTCTTTTTGCTTAGGATTGTCTTGGCAATGCGGGCTCTTTTTAGGTTCCATATGAACTTTAAAGTAGTTTTTTCCAATTCTATGAAGAAAGTCATTGTTAGCTTGATGGGATGGCATTGAATCTATAAATTACTTTGGGCAGTATAGCCATTTTCACGATATTGATTCTTCCTATCCATGAGCATGGAATGTTCTTCCATTTGTTTGTGTCCTCTTTTATTTCGTTGAGCAGTAGTTCGTAGTTCTCCTTGAAGAGGTCCTCCACATCCCTTGTAAGTTGGATTCCTAGGTATTTTATTCTCTTTGAAGCAATCATGAATGGGAGTTCGCTCATGATTTGGCTCTCTGTTTTTCTGTTATTGGTGTATAGGAATGCTTGTGATTTTTGCACGTAGATTTTGTATCCTGAGACTTTGCTGAAGTTGCTTATCAGCTTAAGGAGATTTTGGGTTGAGACAATGGGGTTTTCTAAATATACAATCATGTCATCTGCAAACAGGGACAACTTGACTTCCTCTTTTCCTAATTGAATACCTTTTATTTCTTTCTCCTGCTTGATTGCCTTGGCCAGAACTTCCAACACTATGTTGAATAGGAATGCTAAGAGAGGGCATCCCTGTCTTGTGCCAGTTTTCAAAGGGAATGCTTCCAGTTTTTGCCCATTGAGTATGATATTGGGCTGTGGGTTTGTCATAAATAGCTCTTATTATTTTGAGATATGTCCCATCAATACCTAATTTATTGAGAGTTTTTAGCATGAAGGGCTGTTGAATTTTGTGGAAGGCCTTTTCTGCATCTATTGAGATAATCATCTGGTTTTTGTCTTTGGTTCTGTTTATAGGATGGGTTACATTTATTGATTTGCATATGTTGAACCAGCCTTGCATCCCAGGGATGAGGCCAATGTGATCATGGTGGATAACCTTTTTGATGTGCTGCTGGATTCGGTTTGCCAGTATTTTATTGAGGATTTTGGCATTGATGTTCATCCGGGATATTCATCTAAAATTCTCTTTTTTTGTTGTGGCTCTGCCAGGCTTTGGTATCAGGATGATGTTGGCCTCATTAAATGAATTAGGGAGGATTCCCTCTTTTTCTGTTGATTGGAATAGTTTCAGAAGGAATGGTACCAACTCCTCTTTGTACCTCTGGTAGAATTTGGCTGTGAATCCATCTGGTCCTGGACTTTTTTTGGTTGGTAGGCTATTAATTATTGCCTCAATTTCAGAATCTGCTATTGATCTATTCAGGGATTCAACTTCTTTCTGGTTTAGCCTTGGGAGGGTGTGTGTGTCGAGGAATTTATCCATTTCTTCTAGATTTTCTAGTTTATTTGTGTAGAGGTGTTTATAGTATTCTCTGATGGTAGTTTGTATTTCTGCGGGATCGGTGGTGATATACCCTTTATCACTTTTTATCGCATCTGCTTGATTCTTCTCTCTTTTCTTCTTTATTAGTCTTGCTAGTGGTCTATCGATTTTTTTCATCTTTTCAAAAAACCAGCTCCTAGATTCATTGATTTTTGAAGGGCTTTTTGTGCCTCTGTCTCCTTCAGTTCTGCTGTGATCTTAGTTATGTCTTGCCTTCTGCTAGCTTTTGAATGTTTTTGCTCTTGCTTCTCTAGTTCTTTTAACTGTGATGTTAGGGTGTCAATTTTAGGTCTTCCTGCTTTATCTTGTGGGCATTTAGTGCTATAAATTTCCCTCTACACACTGCTTTAAATGTGTCCCAGAGATTCTGGTATGTTGTGTCTTTGTTCTCGTTGGTTTCAAAGAACATCTTTATTTCTGCCTTCATTTCGTTATGTATCCAGTAGTCACTCAGGAGCAGGTTGTTCAGTTTCCATGTAGTTGAGCGGTTTTGAGTGAGTTTCTTAATCCTGAGTTCTAGTTTGATTGCACTGTGGTCTGAGAGACAGTTTGTTATAATTTCTGTTCTTTTACATTTGCTGAGGAGTGCTTTACTTCCAACTATGTGGTCAATTTTGGAATAAGTGTGATGTGGTGCTGAGAAGAATGTATACTCTGTTGATTTGGGGTGGGGAGTTCTGTAGCTGTCTATTAGGCCCACTTGGTGCAGAGCTGAGTTCAATTCCTGGATATCTTTGTTATCTTTCTGTGTCGTTGATCTGTCTAATGTTGACAGTGGGGTGTTAAAGTCTCCCATTCTTATTATGTGGGAGTCTAAGTCTCTTTGTAGGTCTCTAAAGACTTGCTTTATGAATCTGGGTGCTCCTGTATCGGGTGCCTATATATTCAGGATAGTTAGCTCTTCTTGTTGAATTGATCCCTTTACCATTATGTAATGGCCTTCTTTGTCTCTTTTGATCTTTGTTGGTTTAAGTCTGTTTTATCAGAGACTATGATTGCAACTTCTGCTTTTTTGGTTTTCCATTTGCTTGGTGGATCTTCCTCCTTCCCTTTATTTTGAGCCTATGTGTGTCTCTGCACATGAGATGGGTCTCCTGAATACAGCACACTGATGGGTCTTGACTCTTTATCCAATTTACCAGTCTGTGTCTTTTAATTGGAGCATTTAGCCCATTTACATTTAAGGTTAATATTGTTATGTGTGAATTTGATCCTGTCATTATGAAGTTAGCTGGTTGTTTTGCTCATTAGCTGATGCAGTTTCTTCCTGGCATTGATGGTCTTTACAATTCAGCATGTTTTTGCAGTGGCTGGTACAGGTTGTTCCTTTCCATGTTTAGTGCTTCCTTCAGGAGCTCTTTTAGGGCAGGCCTGGTGGTGACAAAATCTCTCAGCATTTGCTTGTCTGTAAAGGATTTTATTTCTCCTTCACTTATGAAGCTTAGTTTGGCTGGATATGAAATTCTGAGTTGAAAATTCTTCTCTTTAAGAATGTTGACTATTGGCCCCCACTCTCTTCTAGCTTGTAGAGTTTCTGCCAAGAGATCCGCTGTTAGTCTGATGGGCTTCCCTTTGTGGGTAATCTGACCTTTCTCTCTGGCTGCCCTTAACATTTTTTCCTTCATTTCAACTTTAGTGAATCTGACAATTATGTGTCTTGGAGTTGCTCTTCTCGTGGAGTATCTTTGTGGCATTCTCTGTATTTCCTGAATTTGAATGTTGGCCTGCCCTGCTAGGTTGGGGAAGTTCTCCTGGATAATATCCTGCAGAGTGTTTTCCAACTTGTTTCCATTCTCCCCGTTACTTTCAGGTACACCAGTCAGACGTAGATTTGGTCTTTTCACATAGTCCCATATTTCTTGGAGGCTTTGTTCATTTGTTTTTACTCTTTTTTATCTAAACTTCTCTTCTCGCTTCATTTCATTCATTTGATCTTCAATCACTGATACCCTTTCTTCCAGTTGATCAAATCGGCGACTGAAGCTTGTGAATGCATCACGTAGTTCTCGTGCCATGGTTTTCAGCTCCATCAGGTCATTTAAGGATTTCTCTACACTGTTTATTTCAGTTAACCATTCATCTCGTCTTTTTTCAAGGTTTTTAGTTTCTTTGCAATGGGTTTGAACATCCTCCTTTAGCTCAGAGAAGTTTATTACCACCAATCATCTGAAGCCTTCTTCTCTCAACTCGTCAAAGTCATTCTCCATCCAGCTTTGTTCCGTTGCTGGCGAGGAGCTGCATTTCTTTGGAGGAGAAGAGGAGCTCTGATTTTTAGAATTTTCAGCTTTTCTACTCTGGTTTCTCCCTATCTTTGTGGTTTTATCTACCTTTGTTCTTTGATGATGGTGACATACAGGTGCGGTTTTGGTGTGTATGTCCTTTCTGTTTGTTAGTTTTCCAACAGTCAGGACCCTCAGCTGCAGGTCTGTTGGAGTTTGCCGGAGGTCCACTCCAGCCCCTGTTTGCCTGGGTATCACCAGCGGAGGCTGCAGAGCAGCAAATATTGCAGAACAGCAAATGTTGCTGCCTGATCCTTCCTCTGGAGGGTTCGTCTCAGTGGGGCACCCGGCTGTATGAGGTGTCAGTTGGCCCCTACTGTGAGATGTCTCCCAGTTAGGCTACTCAGGAGTCAGGGACCCACTTGAGAAGGCAGTCTGTCCATTCTCAGATCTCAAACTCTGTGCTGGGAGAACCACTACTCTCTTCAAAGCTGTCAGACAGGGACATTTTAAGTCTGCAGAAGTTTGTGCTGCCTTTTGTTCAACTAGGCCTGCCCCCAGAGGTGGAGTCTAGAGAGGCAGGCAGGCCTCCTTGTGCTGTGGTGGGCTCCACCCAGTTTGAGCTTCTCAGCCACTTTGTTTACCTACTCAAGCTTCAGCAATGGCGGACACCCCTCCCCCAGCCTCGCTTCCACCTCGCAGTTCGATCTCAGACTGCTGTGCTAGCAGTGAGCGAGGCTCCGTGGGCATGGGACCCTCCGAGCCACGCATGGGATATAATTTCCTGGTGTGCCATTTGCTAAGACCGTTGGAAAAGCACAGTATTATGGTGGGAGTGTCCCGATTTTCCAGGTACCATCTGTCACAGCTTCCCTTTGCTAGGAAAGGGAATTCCCCAACCCCTTGCACTTCCCTGTGAGGCAGTGCCCCACCCTGCTCCATGGGCTGCACCGACAGTCAGACAAGCCCCAGTGAGATGAACCCGGTACCTCAGTTGGAAATGCAGAAATCACCCATCTTCTGCATCACTCACTCTGGGAGGGGTAGACTGGAGCTGTTCCTATTTGGCCATCTTGGAACCTATGATCATCACAGCCTTTTTAAAGTCCAAGCCTTGGCCCCCTCACCTCTTGGACATTGCTGGCATGTCCGTTGGGGTGGGGTGGGAGCACATTTTTTTCTGTAGTATTTGGCAAGAATAGAGAGGTTAATATCTAAAAGTGTTCTGTATTGCTGGGCTGCCCCTTTCTTTGTCTTCTGGCTAAACATCGGAGGCTGTTGGGGTTTTTATGTCTGTACCCATTGGCATTTCCACTTGCTGGCTTCTTTAGCTCCAAATCTGGGATTATATGAGACAAAAGGGGGAATGCAGGAACTCACCATTTTATGGTTCCTGGGATCCTGAGTCCCCAGGCTCATCTGCTTCCTCTTCTCTCCCTTTTATAGTCTGTCTGTGTGAGTGTGTGTGTGTGTGTGTGTGTGTTTTAATATAATGTCCAGGATTTTTTATTGAACTTAGCAGGAGGAATAGGAAAGGTATGTCTACTCTATCTTCCTGGATGTAGAAGTCCTCTATGCTTTTCGAGGCCCTCAGCATCCTCATCATACCTGCACCCTGCCTACCACACTCTAATAATTAAATAGATTTATCAATGGGCTACTCTTAACACTTTCATTGTTGTTGCTGTTCTGTCTACTGGGTCATTTCAGACTTACTAAAATCCTACACCAGGAAAACAAACATTTGGAGTAATTATTATTCCCTTTACCAGTATTTTTTTTTTTTGTCTCTGTTACCACCCAAGTCTAAGAAGCCACATAATATCCAGAAGAACTAAGGGATTGCTTAAGGGCATGCTTTGGCATGACGAAGAACTGGTATTGAAAGCATACTGTTTGTGAGAAACTGTGCTTCCCCTTCTAAAGCATACAGTTATTTCTCCAGGCCAGAAATGGAAGGAAGATTACCTGAGAGCCTTATGTTATGTGGAAGTGTTCTCTACCTGATTTTTTGACACTTGTTATCTACTCCTCGATTTACATCTCCCTATCTTTTACCACTTCCTCACATTTCCAGCCCACCAATCCCCTCTAACTTGACCTCTGGTTAAGAGATTTGGATACAGAAAGCAAGGATGCTCTATAGAACAGGTGCTTGATTCCTGGTAATCCCTACGATCAGCTCCATTGGCTGGTATATTATAGGTCCTCAATAAGCACAGGAATTAAATGTAGTAACAATACTAATAAGCAATTAAATTAAATTCTGTTACTACATTAAATTAAATGTAGTAACAGAATACTAATGTGCAATGATCCTGATACCTTAATCTATTCCATCAAGTAGGGGTACTGATAGAAGGAGGCTATCTAGAACCAGCTTTCTAGAGCATTGTAGAATACATTCAGATTATTTATGAACATGGATAGCAAGGATGAGAGGATCCATGAAGTAGTAAACCCAATTATGTTATTTTAAGTTTATCTTTAAAGCATTAAAATTAAAACTAATAATTAAAATAATTACCCAATAAATAAAAGTTAAACACATATAAGAACTTTTATATTTTAATTCTCTATGTTTTTAACTGCTCATAGAAACACACTTGTTTGAATTCTGAAACTGCTGTGACATTTTGCTTCAAAAGACAACGAGAGATGCATAGAGTTAAGAATTGACCAGAAATTTTAATCTTTAGAAATAAATGTAAATTACTTTTATTCTTTACAGGACAAAAATGCACTTTCCAGAATAAACTTTGTACCCATAGAATATTTGTTTCCTGAGACAGGCTTCAAAATGATAACATGAGTCTAATAATAACTTACATCAAATGTGTAACTTGATGAGTCATAAGATTTTACATATTGACATATGAAAGAAGATATAAAAGTAGAAATTTATAAATTATTATCTTTTTAATTCAATGGTTTTGCAATGAAAAATGTAATTAAACTTTTGGTTTCAAAATGCATTTTTTCTAATGTACTTTGCCTTTCTAAATGCAAACTTTTGCCAAATAATTTCAATATTGTTATTCAATAGAATAACAATAATAATTAACAGAAGTGTAATATAATTTGGATTGTAGGAAATGTTTGAAGCTGATGTATAAAATAATATTGTGCTTCCTAAGGAAATGAATGATTTAAAAAGTAGAAAAAAATTAAATGATAATGTATAGCTTTTACTATGAGGTTTTTATAATTTGTGGCCTGTATACAAAAACATGTTACCATGCCTATATAATTGTCTGGAGGATTTTTTTTCCCAGTAAAAGTGGTGCTTTTTCAGTCATTCCAATATCTTGGTTACTTTTGTTTGTTCATTCATGTATTCCTATTTTTATTCAACAAAGCAGTTAAGAACCTACTGTTGTTAATGTCACCCTATTTCTAACACTAGTATGTGCCATACACAAAGGTTTTATGAATAAAAGACAAAGAAAATAGTACCTATGCCTACAATTTTATATAAATTAGAAAATAAAAGCTGCTGTTTATATGTAAAGGAGATCTTTTAATGGTAATGATTTAATGGACTTAAATTTAGCAAAATATATACAAATTATTCCCTCTGAACATATTTTATTGTCTGTAGAGGATGCCATTATTGACATGAAATCGTGCCTAATTATTCTGGTCAAGAAATACTGCATAAAGTTATTTGCTTTTAAATTTGTGTGGAATGAAACTTAAAAGAACCACAAAGAAAATCTTAGAGGCTAAAGTTGGAGGCATTAGAAAGTTATTAATAGCATCGTTTTTTTATTCTTGACAGTTTCATTATCACACTACCTCATTTTTGTTGCCAATAATTTTCAGAAGTGACAGAAGTTTATATGATGAAAGTAAATGAGACACATATTTGTAATAAGGAACAACTGAGAAATTATTAATTGTAGGTTAATATAGCCAAATTCGCTTTTAAGAATGTGTGTTAAGTAGGGTTAATGTCTTGTTTATAAGCAGTTTATTTCATCTCTTTTCATGTGATGTTATAACTGTTTAAAATAGTATTTATAGTGTAAACTCTTTTGTACTTTCATGTATATATTTGATATGATAATAAGGTGTAACAGAAAATTTTCTTTGTGTAAAATCTGTGATGAATGGGGCAAGGAGACTAGCCAACTACTTAATGAACCATGACCTATTTAAGAAGCCCTGAGTACTTCTCATTAGGGAAACTAATCTTATTCTTTATTCAGTATGTCATTATCATTAAAAATTACTTCTGTAATAGAGGTTCCGTCCACCCCACATGTGCACCTCTACTTATTCTTGAATACAAGAATCTTCAAATATATCTCCGAGAGACGTTTTAAAGACTTAAATGGCTAGAAACTTAATATAACCAATTTGCAGCTTTTTTGGAATGCTTTGTAATGTTATGGCTTCAACACTGAAAAAATTATTCTCTTACTGACATGTTTACTATAAGTAATCTCTGTGAATAAACATAATATTCTATATCTATAGTTTGAATAAACTGGATCAAATCCTAATATTATTTAAATTGCTGGCAGAATTTATATGGTTATATAAATAAAATAGATTAGAAAATTGGAAATATTTATTTGTGGCCTAGGTTATAATATTATATAAATTTGGCCATTTGTTTAGTTATTTACAGATACTAAAACCACACCTAAAATGATATAAAAATATGATTTATAGCAAATGCATTTCTACAGTATATTCTAAATATACTTGGTTTTAAGCCATTAAGTCTATAGGCAGAATCTAGAGTACTCCTTTGTTATGATAAGTAGCTTCAAAAGCATAATGAGTACATCTAAAGCCTTTATAATGGGGAATTCTAAAGGGAGAAAGAGCAACTATGATACACATAGAATCCTTGATTTTAAAGATTTCTCTGAAAGTCTTAGGGCAATGCAAAGATTTGATATGTACAGTCTGTTCTCCACTTCTATTCCAATCAAGATAGTGAGTTACTCTTTACAAAAGTTCACTGATACATGTGGAGACTCACACATTCCTCAAACTGCACTGGAAAACTGAAGATTAAATGTGGTCTTCTCTCTGATGTTCTGTCTGTAACAATAATAGGGCAGATGTGAGTGTGCAAGTCTGTGTGTGTGTGCACATGCATGCATGCCTGTGCAAGTACTGTTGGAGGTGAGGTGGTGGACAAATTGATGAAAGTAGTCTTTTAAAAATTCAACTTAGATAAATGGGGCAAAAATTAGATGTATATTTGTATATGTTTCTGTGTGTGTGTGCATTTCCTGAAGTCATATTTAAAGAGTTTAGATTTTAGTTGCTACTTTTTCTCTCTCTCACTCTTTCGACTTGTGTATAGTCCGTTTTGTGCTGCTATAAAGGAAATACGTGAGGCTGTATAATTTATAAGAAAATGGGTTTATTTGGCTTATGGTTTTGCAAGCTGTACTAGAAGCATGGCATCAGAATCTGCTTCCAATGAGGGCCTCAGGAAGGTTACAGTTATGGTGGAAGGTGCAGGAAAGCTGGCATGTCAGATGGCAAGAGTGGGAGTGAGAGGGAGGGCAGGTGCTAGGCTCTTTTTAACAGTCAATTTTCACTTGAACTAACAGAGGGACAACTCATTCATTACCCCAGGGAGGACACCAAGCCAGTCATGAGGGATCTGGCCCCGTGACCCAAACACCTCCCACTAGGCCCCACCTCCAACACCGGGAGTCACATTTCAACATGAAATTTGGAGGAGACAAATATCCAAACCACATCAACCAGTTCCTATTTTTTTTTTTTTGTCAGACATTTTGCTAGATACAGAGTATAAATTGATAGGGACTAAAGCCTGTCCGTACTTCTTGATGCCATGCAGATGTAGGCACTGCTCTTTCACACTCAGTTGAGCTCTCACAATTGGTAAATTGTAACTGCACATTAAAAAAGTGGAGTGAGGGGGTGCAGACAAGAAGCCACTTTTTTCACATTGGCCTACTTCTTGACACACATTCTTAGAAGCGAATTTGGCTATATTAACCTACAATTAATAATTTCTCAATTGTTCCTTATGAATATGTGTCTCATTTACTTTCATCATATAAACTTCTGTCACTTCTGAAAATTACTGGTAACAAAAATGAGGTAGTATGATAATGAAACTGTCTAGAAAAAAAAATCATGCTATTAAATACTACCTCAAAGTCCTATTGAACAAGGATGGGACTATGTTTCCATTTGGGCTATTTTATAATGAACAATTGCTAAATAAGTCAACATGTTGGTGATTTACATCTTTTTTTTCAAATATCAAATGTATAGAAAGGTGAACTTCTAGTTCCTCAATCCCTATTCCTCATCAACATTTTTTGGGTATTTTTCTGCAAACATATTTACATAAATATCTTTTTAAAAGTTTCTTACCCACTGGCATTTTACAAATATATATATGGCATAAAGTATATAATAACAAAGCCAACATTTGTATGCTAGCTTAAGAAATATAACATCAATATATGCTCATAATTAGAGAAGAAATGGTAATAATTTAAATGTATAATCACAGAAGGATGTATAAATACATTTAACTTGCTTTGTCAGTCACTTTATCTTGGGCATTTTTGCTATCCACCTTTGAACACTGCTATCTGGCTCTTGTCTAGGAAATATATATATAAATATATGTGTATTCAGGTAAAGGATAGTCTCCTGGTACCTAAAGTACTGTTGAGGAAAGATTTGTTTTATTTATTGTGTGAGGTATAGTGTTTTTAACCCAGCTATAATTTAGTAAATGTAAATAGAATCTATAGAATTAGTCAATGTATTAATTATATTAATAAAGCAGTTACTAGAGTAACTGTGATATACTAATAATATACAATTAAATGGTTTCCATGTTCAATAAAAATTGAGTAAATGTCAATAGTGAAGATTCTGAAGGTGAATAGCAAAACTCAATGGTAAGAACAGTGAGAAAATGAAGCAATCTAGCCAAGAGCTAACCTTTTTGTGGACTTTTGTAATATGTAAGTGCTATTCTCAATCATTGGTATTAGCCTACTCCTCTAATCTAAGAGCATTTTGATTACTAGAGAGAGTTCAGCATAAAATATAATTGTCCTTTTGTATCTGTGGGGAATTGGTTCCAGTATCCCCTGCAGATATCAAAATCTATGCATACTCAAGTCCCTGCAGTCTGCCCTGTGGAACCTGTGGATACAAAAAGTTGACCCTCTATATCCATGGATTTTGTGAACACTGTATTTTTGATCTGCATTTGGATGTAAATTCAGAACCTATAGATACAAGGGGCAACTGTATTTATTGAAAAAAAGCCCATGTATAAGTGGACCCTTGCAGTTCAAACCCATGTTGTAACTGTAATTATTTTATATATTATAGGGAATTTATTCAAATTTAATAATTCAGAAATTAGTGACTGAATAATAATCTCTGTAGCATATGGTCTATCTGAAGGATACATAATTCCTTTGTATTGTCTGAGCGTGATTGGTTAAGTTCAGCCAACAAGTTGGGAATGCCTATCACTAGTAAACGTTTGATTCATGACAATTGTGACCATTTTTTAGTCCTTGTTTGTGAATGTGGCTTAGAGAAAGTCTGTCTCATTGGAGAGATAAATTACTTAGCATTTATAAACCGCTCTACTTGGAAATAGGATCTATAAGGAAGTCAAAGGCTAGTAATATCAGAACATTTTTATAATCCATACATTGTAGAATATTGTCTCTGTCATGGTTAAATATTGGAGCAAAAATGGATGTTTATTTATTAGTCCTACAACTGAGAACTTTCACAAGCCTGGTAGCACCTAAAATTAATCTGAGCTTTGATTCCTTAGCATGAAATAACCAATCAAAAGTTCATTCCATGACATAAGCCTTATTATGTAGGCAATATTTTAGAGCCCTAAATGCTCAGGCAATCTGATGGTTTAATCAGATAACCATTCTCTCTGTTAGTTCTTTGTGACATAAGCAAATGCTTCTTGTAGAAACTAGCAATTTTAAAAATATCGTTTGAAGAGATGTGTTTCGTAAGTAGAAAAGTTTTAAATACATTGTCTTCAATATTTATTCTTAGGTTGGTGAGACCAGATGCAAAAAAGTTTGTACTTCTAAGTCTGATCTGAGATCTAATGACTTCAGCATTGTTGGAAGCTTACCAAGAGATTTTGAACTATCCAATTATGACTGCTATGGAAAACCCATTGAAGTTAACAACGGACTTGGGAAATCTCAGGCTAAGAACAACAAGAAGCCTCCCCCTGCGAAACCTGTTATTCCAACAGCAGCAAAGCGAATTGATCTTTATGCAAGAGCATTGTTTCCTTTCTGCTTCTTGTTCTTCAATGTTATATATTGGTCTATATATTTATGATAAATCTTTTCCATTTGTACAAAATAAAATTCCATTTCATTGTGACCTACTCCTTTCATAAATGCCAATCTGTGAGAACTTTTGAATTTTCATAGCAACATTGCATTTTGGATGCCATTTGATTGTAATAAAACTGTGGCACCTTAATTTTGAATGGCAGCATGATCATGTAATATCTGTGCTCTAATAACGATGTATATATGTATAGTGAACATATTGCTTAGTAACAAATGAAGGACAAGCATACTACATAATATAATCCATACAATTCTCTTCAGTTAGTGTAAACTGCAAATACTACAGATAATTCTGATAATAAAATGATATGCACGCTGAATCCTGCTATGGTCACCATTCTAATGTATGTAGTATTTCAAATTTCCTTCCTTGTAACTTTCAAAGAAAGCCATCTTATTCTTGTAAAATTTTAGATGGTATTATCACAGATTTAAAAAGGTTGTATTACATATTGTTTAAACTTTGTAAGTAGAAATATATCTGTTATAATTATACAGGCTCTGTGGAGAAATAAAGTTCAAAATATATTAATTTGTAAAATCAGCTCGTTTTAAAGTGTGCTTGTGTTGTCAAAAATATCAGATAGTAATACACAGTGAGCATTTTTAAACAAAGGGAAACCTATATTTATGTAACTGTATACTGAATTCTGACAAAATAAAAAAAGATACCTTATTGACGAAATATTTAGGATAAACAAAATTCTATTTAATCCACCTTAAAACCTAAATGTATTTTCATGGATTTCATTTGTTGGTACATATTACACAAAACATTGTGCCTTAAAATGAGTCATACATCTTTTAAATTGGAATGCAGTAATAGATATGTGATTTTACATCATTTTTAAGAAACCAAGGGGAAGTAATAAGTTGAAAAAGAAATCCATAACTATTAAAAGATTTTAACTTTTTTATTTTATTAAAATGCTTGCATATTTTAAGTAAAATTAAAAATGTTTACTGAATTTATTTTTTTATTTGAATATTTTGGGATTAGTTACAAAATATTTAGAGATTAAATAAATAATAGCTTTGTTTGTGTTAGACTTCACTTCTACTTGTATTTTCTTTCTTGTTAAAAGTCTAGACAACTGAGATTTACTTACTTTGAACTTGTTCCAATCCAAAAGTAAGCACTAAGTCTCATTTTATGAGACCACCATTTCTTAATATCACATCCAGTGCACCTTTGTCTTTCTGCCATATCTGAAATAAAACTATCAGTAATTCACATAGATAAACATAAGACTAAAGAAGTATATTTACATTATCTGGAGAGTTTTGTTGCAGCTACGAGTTTGTATGGCAAATTCAATAATAAAGTATTGTTTATGCAAATTGCCATATGTAATTCAGTGCTATTCAATTTATTGAAGCCTTGCATTTTTAAAAGATTCTCACTGATTATATTATTTTTAATGGGATATAATCGAATCCTTTGTAGTCCTTCAGCACCCTCTAGTTGTAAAGGTGATATCCGGATAATTTTACAGTGCTACAGTTAACCCTGTTGATGGACTTAATATCTTCTAAGACCCAGGGCAAGAGCATTTTAATGGAACTGTGGTAAGAAAAAAAAAATGAATAGGATTTAAATCACTTAAAATGTTTACTTGTAATAATTATATTTGCTTATAATCTGATTCCTTTATTTTGGCAAGTTTCATTCATATTAGGGAATTTGATCTAGATATAGAGTTTTAAGTGGAAGATGTACCATATTGAAGACGTATCTCATTATATAGAAATTTATTTGTGGAAAATAGCATAAATGAATTACTTTTCTGTAATATAATATTGCAGCCTCTTAAGACCAATTTTAATACCCAAGTATATATGAATCGCTATCCCAGGATTAAGTGTGTATGTGTAACTACAAATGGAACACTAGAAAAAGATCATAACAAAGAAGTATGAGTGTCTGCTGACAGTTGTTTTATAATTCTTCTAAAAGATTTAGTCACAGAACTCCAGAGTAGTTCTGATCTGTGTGCTTTCAGTATTATATATTTCTAGGAGATTCACAGTATATCTACCTGGAGCATCTGCGGATACCTCAAATTCAGTGTCTTTAAAGTAAAAATTATCATCTCAAAAATCAGGTTCTCTCATTTTTTATTTCTGTTAAAGCCATTGCTAATCCAGTTGCCCATGTTAAATTCATCTTCCTTTCTCACACAGTCTGTCCCTTTAAGTATCAAGTCCTATAAATTCTCCCTCTTATACCTATCATCTCCTCTCCATTCCTACTGACACCCTCCTAATTCGTTTTCTCATTCTATGTAATCAGACTCTTTCAGCAGTCTACAGTCTCACGCTAATATAACTCTATTTTTGAACTAACTTCGTAATTTTTGTTTTTTAGTTGCATAGGTAATACCTGAATATGTTGAATATTACAAAACAAACATGTATTTAGAGTCAGTATTTAAAGTTGCTGTCCATAGCCTTTTTCCTTCAAACTATTCTGTCTCTTCCCCAGAGGTCATCATTGTTTTGTATCTATTCAGAACTCATTCTAGGCATTTTCAACATCTATCTAATTTTTAAATATAAAAGATAATGTAACATAATAAGATATTACCCAAATGGGATTTTACCTTATGTAGGGTTTTGCAATTTTTAAAATTTAACATGTCCTAGAGTTTTTTCCAGGTCCTCACCTGGGACATATTAGGTGTTCATAAATTGAGCTTCTGCTATTATTATATAGGATGAATATGTCTTAATTTGATTTCTTTTTAAGTAAAAACTTAGTTTTTCCTCCAAATACAAAATAGAGTTGCAGTAAATGTCTTTGTGCACAAATACGTATATTTCCATGAGGCTGATGCCGAAAGCGGAGTTGCTAAATTGAAAGATAAGTGTCTATTAAATTCTGATAGGCTCTCATTTTCTCTCTAAAAAGCTGCTAAAGTAGCTTTTCATCATGATATGCCCAAATTCCCACAGTAGTAATCTCTTAGTCTAAAGTTGTGGATACATTACTTTTCTTTTTTAAATAATCTTTTTTGACATTGTCTCAGACTTTCAAAAATATTGAAAAAAAATCTAATGAAGAATTTCTGTTTACTCTTCACCTAAATTCCCCAAATGTAAATACTTTCTCATACTTACTTTATTTTTCTCCCTCTACTGTGTGTGCATGAGATATTTTATGTTGAAATATTAAAATTGCAGATATGATGTTTCTTTACCTCTACACACATTAGTGTTTCCTAAAATACAAGAGCATTTTCTTTCATAACCATAGTAGAACAAGATATCAATATCAGGAAGTTAACATTGATAAAATGCTAGAATCTAGAGAATTAATTCAAATTTCCCAATTGTTCCACTATTTTTGGCTGTTGTTCAGGGTTCATTCCAGGATCATGTTTAATTTTCTGATGTTAATTTCTGTAAAATAGAGCTGTGATCGTGGCATTCTGCTCAAACATCTTTAGTGTCTTCTTTTGTCACATGAACTAAAAAATCCTCTCTCGTATGAAATTATCCCTATTAAATGTTTAGCTTATTTTTGCAGATATTTCTCACACTACTACTATTCTCATATCCTAAACTCTTCTCAAACTGATTTTGACTGTTTTATATCACATTTAGTAGTGATTGGAGTACTAAGTTCAGCCAGTTCCTTTTCTTTGAAGTAAGTGGTTAATTTTACGTTTCACAATTTCTTTCAAGTGGACCAGGCTTGGATGTTAAGTGTCTTCAAATAATTATTTAACTAATGTGTATTTATTCAACATTAGGTAATTTTACTTTTTTTATTGATACATAATAGATGTACATATTTTGAGGGCACATGTGATACCTTTGCATAAAATCAGTTCAGGGTAATTAGGATATTCATCACCTTAAATATTTATCTTTTCTTTATGCTAAGAACATTAGAATTGTTCTCTTTCAACTATTTTGAAATGTAAAATAGATTAATGTTACCTCTAGACACCTTACTGATCTATTAAATACCAGGCCTTATTTCTTCTAACTGTATGTTTGTTCCCATTAATTAACCTCCCTGCATCCACTCCTCTCTGCTAACCTTCCTGGCTTTTGGTAACCAGCAATCTACTCTTTTTTTTTTTTTTGAATCAAAATCAAAACTTTTTATTTTATTATTTTTATTTTTTATTTTTTTTATTTTTTTTAATTAATAGACTTTAAGTTTTAGGGTACATGTGCACAATGTGCAGGTTAGTTACATATGTATACATGTGCCATGTTGGTGCGCTGCACCCACTAACTCGTCATCTAGCATTAGGTATATCTCCCAGTGCTATCCCTCCCCCCTCCCCCCACCCCACAACAGGCCCCAGAGTGTGATGTTCCCCTTCCTGTGTCCATGTGTTCTCATTGTTCAGTTCCCACCTATGAGTGAGAATATGCGGTGTTTAGTTTTTTGTTCTTGCGATAGTTGACTGAGAATGATGATTTCCAATTTCATCCATGTCCCTACAAAGGACATGAACTCATCATTTTTTATGGCTGCATAGTATTCCATGGTGTATATGTGCCACATTTTCTTAATCCAGTCTATCATTGTTGGACATTTGGGTTGGTTCCAAGTCTTTGCTATTGTGAATAATGCCACAATAAACATACGTGTGAATGTGTCTTTATAGCAGCATGATTTATAGTCCTTTGGGTATATACCCAGTAATGGAATGGCTGGGTCAAATGGTATTTCTAGTTCTAGATCGCTGAGGAATGGCCACACTGACTTCCACAATGGTTGAACTAGTTTACAGTCCCACCAACAGTGTAAAAGTGTTCCTATTTCTCCACATCCTCTCCAGCCCCTGTTGTTTCCTGACGTTTTAATGATTGCCATTCTAACTGGTGTGAGATGGTATCTCATTGTGGTTTTGATTTGCATTTCTCTGATGGCCAGTGATGGTGAGCATTTTTTCATGTGTTTTTTGGCTGCATAAATGTCTTCTATTGAGAAGTGTCTGTTCATGTCCTTCACCCACTTTTTGATGGGATTGTTTGTTTTTTTCTTGTAAATTTGTTTGAGTTCATTGTAGATTCTGGATATTAGCCCTTTGTCAGATGAGTAGGTTGCAAAAATTTTCTCCCATTTTGTAGGTTGCCTGTTCACTCTGATGGTAGTTTCTTTTGCTGTGCAGAAGCTCTTTAGTTTAATTAGATCCCATTTGTCAATTTTGGCTTTTGTTGCCATTGCTTTTGGTGTTTTAGACATGAAGTCCTTTCCCATGCCTATGTCCTGAATGGTAAAGCCTAGGTTTTCTTCTAGGGTTTTTATGGTTTTAGGTCTAACGTTTAAGTCTTTAATCCATCTTGAATTGATTTCTGTATAAGGTGTAAGGAAGGGATCCAGTTTCAGCTTTCTACACATGGCTAGCCAGTTTTGCCAGCAGCATTTATTAAATAGGGAATCCTTTCCCCATTGCTTGTTTTTCTCAGGTTTGTCAAAGATCAGATAGTTGTAGATATGTCGTGTTATTTCTGAGGGCTCTGTTCTGTTCCATTGATCTATATCTCTGTTTTGGTACCAGTACCATGCTGTTTTGGTTACTGTAGCCTTGTAGTAGAGTTTGAAGTCAGGTAGTGTGATGCCTCCAGCCTTGTTCTTTTGGCTCAGGATTGACTTGGTGATGCGGGCTCTTTTTTGGTTCCATATGAACTTTAAAGTAGTTTTTTCCAATTCTGTGAAGAAAGTCATTGGTAGCTTGATGGGGATGGCATTGAATCTATAAATTACCTTGGGCAGTATAGCCATTTTCACGATATTGATTCTTCCTACCCATGAGCATACAATGTTCTTCCATTTGTTTGTATCCTCTTTTATTTCCTTGAGCAGTGGTTTGTAGTTCTCCTTGAAGAGATCCTTCACATCCCTTGTAAGTTGGATTCCTAGGTATTTTATTCTCTTTGAAGCAATTGTGAATGGGAGTTCACTCATGATTTGGCTCTCTGTTTGTCTGTTGTTGGTGTATAAGAATGCTTGTGATTTTTGCACATTGATTTTGTATCCTGAGACTTTGCTGAAATTGCTTATCAGCTTGAGGAGATTTTGGGCTGAGACAATGGGGTTTTCTAGATATACAATCATGTTGTCTGCAAACAGGGACAATTTGACTTCCTCTTTTCCTAATTGAATACCCTTTATTTCCCTCTCCTGCCTAATTGCCCTGGCCAGAACTTGCAACACTATGTTGAATAGGAGTGGTGAGAGAGGGCATCCCTGTCTTGTGCCAGTTTTCAAAGGGAATGCTTCCAGTTTTTGCCCATTCAGTATGATACTGGCTGTGGGTTTGTCATAGATAGCTCTTATTATTTTGAGATACGTCCCATCAATACCTAATTTATTGAGAGTTTTTAGCATGAAGGGTTGTTGAATTTTGTCAAAGGCATTTTCTGCATCTATTGAGATAATCATCTGGTTTTTGTCTTTGGTTCTGTTTATATGCTGGATTACATTTATTGATTTGCATATATTGAACCAGCCTTGCATCCCAGGGATGAAGCCCACTTGGTCATTGTGGGTAAGCTTTTTGATGTGCTGCTGGATTCGGTTTGCCAGTATTTTATTGAGGATTTTTGCATCAATGTTCATCAAGGATATTGGTCTAAAATTCTGTTTTTTGGTTGTGTCTCTGCCCAGCTTTGGTATCAGGATGATGCTGGCCTCATAAAATGAGTTAGGGAGGATTCCCTCTTTTTCTGTTGATTGGAATAGTTTCAGAAGGAATGGTACCAGTTCCTCCTTGTACCTCTGGTAGAATTCGGCTGTGAATCCATCTGGTCCTGGACTCTTTTTGGTTGGTAAGCTATTGATTATTGCCACAATTTCAGATCCTGTTATTGGTCTATTCAGAGATTCAACTTCTTCCTGGTTTAGTCTTGGGAGAGTGTATGTGTCGAGGAATTTATCCATTTCTTCTAGATTTTCTAGTTTATTTGCATAGAGGTGTTTGTAGTATTCTCTGATGGTAGTTTGTATTTCTGTGGGATTGGTGGTGATATCCTGTTTATCATTGATTATTGCATCTATTTGATTCTTCTGTCTTTTTTTCTTTATTAGTCTTGCTAGCGGTCTATCAATTTTGTTGATCCTTTCAAAAAACCAGCTCCTGGATTCATTAATTTTTTGAAGGGTTTTTTGTGTCTCTATTTCCTTCAGTTCTGCTCTGATTTTAGTTACTTCTTGCCTTCTGCTAGCTTTTGAATGTGTTTGCTCTTGGTTTTCTAGTTCTTTTAATTGTGATATTAGGGTGTCAATTTTGGATCTTTCCTGCTTTCTCTTGTGGGCATTTAGTGCTATAAATTTCCCTCTACACACTGCTTTGAATGCGTCCCAGATGTTCTGGCATGTTGTGTCTTTTTTCTCATTGGTTTCAAAGAACATCTTTATTTCTGCCTTCATTTCGTTATGTACCCAGTAGTCATTTAGGAGCAGGTTGTTCGGTTTCCATGTAGTTGAGCGGTTTTGAGTGAGATTCTTAATCCTGAGTTTGATTGCACTGTGGTCTGAGAGATAGTTTGTTATAATTTCTGTTCTTTTACATTTGCTGAGGAGAGCTTTACTTCCAAGTATGTGGTCAATTTTGGAATAGATGTGGTGTGGTGCTGAAAAAAATGTATATTCTGGTGATTTGGGGTGGAGAGTTCTATAGATGTCTATTAGGTCCGCTTGGTGCAGAGCTGAGTTCAATTCCTGGGTATCCTTGTTGACTTTCTGTCTCGTTGATCTGTCTAATGTTGACAGTGGGGTGTTAAATTCTCCCATTCTTATTATGTGGGAGTCTAAGTCTCTTTGTAGGTCTCTAAGGACTTGCTTTATGAATCTGGGTGCTCCTGTATTGGGTGCATATCTATTTAGGATAGTTAGCTCTTCTTGTTGAATTGATCCCTTTACCATTATGTAATGGCTTCCTTTGTCTCTTTTGATCTTTGTTGGTTTAAGTCTGTTTTATCAGAGACTAGGATTGCAACCCCTGCCTTTTTTGGTTTTCCATTTGCTTGGTAGATGTTCCTCCATCCTTTTATTTTGAGCCTATATGTGTCTCTGCACGTAAGATGGGTTTCCTGAATACAGCACACTGATGGATCTTGACTCTTTATCCAATTTACCAGTCTGTGTCTTTTAATTGGAGCATTTAGTCCATTTACATTTAAAGTTAATATTGTTATGTGTGAATTTGATCCTGTCATTATGATGTTAGCTGGTTATTTTGCTCGTTAGTTGATGCAGTTTCTTCCTAGTCTCAGTGGTCTTTACATTTTGGCATGATTTTGCAGTGGCTGGTACCGGTTCTTCCTTTCCATGTCTATCACTTCCTTCAGGATCTCTTTTAGGGCAGGCCTGGTGGTGACAAAATCTCTCAGCATTTGCTTGTCTGTAAAGTATTTTATTTCTCCTTCACTTATGAAGCTTAGTTTGGCTGGATATGAAATTCTGGGTTGAAAATTCTTTTCTTTAAGAATGTTGAATATTGGCCCCCACTCTCTTCTGGCTTGTAGAGTTTCTGCCGAGAGATCCACTGTTAGTCTAATGGGCTTCCCTTTGAGGGTAACCCGACCTTTCTCTCTGGCTGCCCTTAACATTTTTTCCTTCATTTCAACTTTGGTGAATCTGACAATTATGTGTCTTGGAGTTGCTCTTCTTGAGGAGTATTTTTGTGGCGTTTTCTGTATTTCCTGAATCTGAATGTTGGCCAGCCTTGCTAGATTGGGGAAGTTCTCCTGGATAATATCCTGCAGAGTGTTTTCCAACTTGGTTCCATTCTCCCCGTCACTTTCAGGTACACCAATCAGACGTAGATTTGGTCTTTTCACATAGTCCCATATTTCTTGGAGGCTTTGCTCGTTTCTTTTTATTCTTTTTTATCTAAACTTCTCTTCTCGCTTCATTACATTCATTTCATCTTCCATCGCTGCTACCCTTTCTTCCAGTTGATCGCATCGGCTCCTGAGGCTTCTGCATTCTTCACGTAGTTCTCGAGCCTTGGTTTTCAGCTCCATCAGCTCCTTTAAGCACTTCTCTGTATTGGTTATTCTAGTTATACATTCTTCTAAATTTTTTTCAAAGTTTTCAACTTCTTTGCCTTTGGTTTGAATGTCCTCCCATAGCTCAGAGTAATTTGATCGTCTGAAGCCTTCTTCTCTCAGCTCGTCAAAGTCATTCTCCATCCAGCTTTGTTCCGTTGCTGGTGAGGAACTGCATTCCTTTGGAGGAGGAGAGGCACTCTGCTTTTTAGAGTTTCCAGTTTTTCTGCTCTGTTTTTTCCCCATCTTTGTGGTTTTATCTACTTTTGGTCATTGATGATGGTGATATACAGATGGGTTTTTGGTGTGGATGTCCTTTCTGTTTGTTAGTTTTCCTTCTAACAGACAGGACCCTCAGCTGCAGGTCTGTTGGAGTACCCGGCCATGTGAGGCGTCAGTCTGCCCCTGCTGGGGGGGTGCCTCCCAGTTAGGCTGCTCGGGGGTCCGGGGTCAGGAACCCACTTGAGGAGGCAGCCTGCCCGTTCTGAGATCTCCAGCTGCGTGCTGGGAGAACCACTGCTCTCTTCAAAGCTGTCAGACAGGGACAGTTAAGTCTGCAGAGGTTACTGCTGTCTTTTTGTTTGTCTGTGCCCTGCCCACAGAGGTGGAGCCTACAGAGGCAGGCAGGCCTCCTTGAGCTGTGGTGGGCTCCACCCAGTTCGAGCTTCCCAGCTGCTTTGTTTACCTAAGCAAGCCCGGGCAATGGCGGGCGCCCCTCCCCCAGCCTCGCTGCCGCCTTGCAGTTTGATCTCAGACTGCTGTGCTAGCAATCAGCGAGACTCCGTGGGCATAGGACCCTCCGAGCCAGGTGCGGGATACAATCTCCAGGTGCGCCGTTTTTTAAGCCTGTTGGAAAAGTGCAGTATTCCGGTTGGAGTGACCCGATTTTCCAGGTGCTGTCTGTCACCCCTTTCTTTGACTGGGAAAGGGAACTCCCTGACCCCTTGTGCTTCCCAAGTGAGGCAATGCCTCGCCCTGCTTCTGCTCGCGCATGGTGCGCACACCCACTGACCTGCGCCCACTCTCTGGCACTCCCTAGTGAGATGAACCCAGTACCTCAGATGGAAATGCAGAAATCACCCGTCTTCTGCGTTGCTCACTCTGGGAGCTGTAGACCGGAGCTGTTCCTATTCAGCCATCTTGGCTCCTCCCCAAAATCTACTCTCTATCTTCATGACATCCACTATTTTAGCTCCAACATACAAGTGAAAATATGTGACTTTTTAAAATCTTATGGTTTCATCTCTAGTGAAAAATGAAGTGAAAATATTTTCCATTACATCTGCAGTGCTCAAATTAAGCTTCTTTAAAATCAACTCAGTTACTATTTATACTACTGAAAATTTCCATTTATATAAATAGGTATAAAATTTTAAAATCTCAAGCCTAAAATGAGAAATAGCTTGAAGTACTTTATAGCCTTTACTCAATGCTTACTCGGTAGAATATTATTACCTTGCTTTACAATAGCAGATTTATTCAAATTATTTTTTAAATAATTGCATATGTTTGTGCAATGTATTAATAATTTAGCATTCACTCCCATTTTTTGGTAAAGCTAATCTTAGCGATTTAAGAGATTAGGGTCGAGTTCTTTCAAAGCATCAGCCACATCACTGGAGTAATACTTGGAGACTTTCCTGTGATTAATATTAATGGAAAATATGGATGCCATAACCAAAATGGGTTATACTATCTGTATGTACCATATATGCATAAACTTGATATTTTATACGTTGATAACATTTGCATTCTTTCTATGTATGTATACAGATATATATTATATATGCATTTACATCATTTTAATTTGTCCTTAATTAACGAGAACAATGAGAAAGTTTATGAATTCTGTTCCCCTTGGATTTTCTGTATTCCAAACATATCATTCCAAATGTCTCAACTCTCACATATTATACCCAAAGCAGTTCTTTTTAAATCATCTAAGTGAATACTGAACAAGAAAACTGTAAACTAGTTAATATTTATTGGCTACTTCATATATTAAAGGTGTGTGTTAGCTAAAAACTGAAAAGATGAATAAAACCTGGCTTCTGCTTTTAAATGATATAGAGTGAATCATGTGAGAAGGAAGATACACTAAATATACAAATCGCTATAATGCAAATCAGAATATAATATATATTATTTTAAAAACATAAGAAGAAACAAAGTCATTTGTCTAAAAGAACAAAACCTGTTTTAAAAAAGAATAAAAATACTGTAATATGGCTAAAGGCAATTTTACAATCCATCATAGGATTCTGAAGCTAGAAATTTACTAAAAGTAAATAAAAATACGAATTGTAAAATGCAGAAACATTGCAAATGAAAAACCTTAAAGTGTTATTTGATTTTTATTTCCTAGTTAACATTGTTGAGAAAATAATGAGCAGCAAAGCAAGTTTTCCTTAGCTGTTGAGGTAATGCACTTTAGCTAATGTTTGTTTCTTAACTAAAACCCACATCTGATCTTAATCCTATAACTTGAAACAATTTTCAGTAAATCCCAATTTGCAGCCTGAAGCAATTGCAGTTCAATTAATATCATTGACAGTGATGTGGCCAAAAGGAGGGTAGAACCCCCATGGTTTAGCAAGAATTGCAATCAAACTACAGGTCCTTTAGCAATTACCTCAGTGAATAGAGATTTTATTAGTCAATTAGCATTGCCTCACCCTATCCCATTGATGACACATAACAGAAACCCCTTTTTGTGAAATGGTAAACAAGATAAAGAAGCAAAAGATTTTAGCCCTTGCAAAGCTCAACTCAGTTTATTGGATGTTCCCATGGGATGTTGTTTTAGGTGTCAGAGTTGAAAATGTGGCAGAAGGAAAATGGCATTTAACAATAGTAAATACTTATCTGCTTCTATTTGAAGACTACAACCTCACATCTTACAGCTCCTTAGAACATGAATTTCTACACGTTCTAAGGCATACAATGGCAGCATCATATCTGCTTGCTTTAGTAAGAATCTCCAGCATTTTTCATAAGTCTAAGTTAGAATCTGCAGGCTCGTCAGCTACAAAGATGCTCTTTAATTTATTAACTGAGAGAATATTATATGGAACTCATTAAGAGGGAATACCTAATAAATTCTGCCTTGGACTATTATAAAAACCTCTTTCTAAACACAGCTGCAGTTTTCTGGTTCATTCATTTGCAGGCTCAAAAGCTCTTTCTTTCAAAAATAACTAGGCTCCACTCTGTCCACTGGCATCTTAGAAGCTTTCAAATTTTTAGATGAATTAATTTAAATATCCAAATATTTATGTGAAATTTTCTAAGAAATATTTGTGAAACATGCACCACTGCAAAATAAACTACTGATCTAAGCTAAGCCCAAAGCCAATATGACACATAAACATGTAAGGAGGCAGGAGAAGGCAGTAGAAAGACCTTTGGATTGGAAGTGATAGTACCCGAGCTACAGTTTGAGGTTTGCCATTTAAACCTCCTTGCAAACTTTGTCAAAGAATATTTATTATCTTCCGTTACCCTATTTTTAAAAAGGGAGTAATATAAACAATTATTGATAATAATACATTATTAACATAATATAAAAATAATTGATTACAATGTGTGAGTCTTTTATAGTGATTCAAGCAAGGACTTGGAAACAGCCTAGGCTAGAGTCTCACTAGTTTTATAAACCTTGGCAAATTATTTAAGATCTGTGAGCCTCAGTTTCCTCACTTATGAAATATATGTAATGATGACTACCTCATCACATGATTGTGAGAATTTAATATAGTAAATTTTCATATGTAAAGTTTACAACAGAGTTCCTAGTACATAAGTGTACAAAAATTATAGTTATTATCTAGTTTTACCTCTTACTGCTACTATAATTTCTAGCATCAAATCTGCTACTGACATTTCTTTTTTTTTCTAAATTTCTTTATCAAAATAATGAGTGTTAGGCTATAAAACCCACTGACATTTTGACAACAGATGCATATTACCTCTACTCATAAGGTATTTTAGCATGCATAATCATTGATATCAATTTAGGATACAAAATAACTTAAGGATGGGTACAGTAGAAGGAACTAGAAAATACATACTAAGATATTCTTGGTTGTATAAAGGAGTCATTAAAATATTTACTTAGAGTCTACAATTAAATGTTAGTAATGCAATGTGGGCAATGTAATATAATAATTCTAGAAATTCAGAATCCACATATTCAAGGGTCATATTTTACATGTTAGAAAAATAAAAATAAGTGAGAATACTTCTGAACTTTTGAAAGAAAGAATAAAAAGAAGAAAAACTTCCTAGATATGTTAAACATGCAGTAAAAATGGAGCTTAATCTCATTAATTCATGCATGTATGATACTAATAAAAAATAATGCCCATAACAAGTAGCCTAAAAACTCCATGATTCTGCCTTTTTTCTAAAACATAGTGGAAATATTTTGTTATATTAAACAGAATTGAGGTGTTAATATACTTTACTGTATTCTAATTCTTTGAAGTTTCATAATCTAACTACTAAACTTAATGGTATTCCCAATTAATCAAACTATCCAATTAACAACATTTAGTATAAATGATAATGTGTTACATTCTGAACTCATACTTAAAATGAATGAGGTTAAATTCTAACTGATAGAATCATGTTTAATTCTCCTTAAGGCAATATATTTTATATTATAGCCACAATATTTACCTATTTATTGAAGAAACAGTTGTTAAACACTTTACAAGTATAATGCTGAATAGACACTAAAGTAAAATTAAACTACTAAATTAGGAAGTTTCAACTACATATACATTTTAATAGAGGAGACATGGGAAGAGGGTATCATAACTTCTAGAATAGAAAAAGAATAAGTAGTTTGAAAATATTGCAAAACTTTGTCCCATTACTAGAATATTTAGGGTCTTTACAAGGCCTCCTGAAGCCACCGATTTTTTTTTAATCAAAGGGAAATTTCATTTTTTAACCAAAGGGAAAGGGAAGGTTTGAGATGTCCTGTATAAAACAATTAATCAAAACTGAGACAAGCCCCAAAAGATATGGAAGAATTGTTAATGAAGGATTTCATTAAAAACATATTTGCTACACACTTTGGGAGGCTGGAGGATGGCTTGAGCCTAGGAGTTTGAGACCATCCTGGGCAACATAGGGAGACCCCCATCTCTACGAAAAATTTCAAAAATTAGCTGTGTGTGGTGGTGCACACCTGTGGTCCCAGTTACTCAGGAGGCTGAGGCAAGAGGATCGTTTGAGGCTGGGAGGTGGAGAAAGACCCTGTCACAGAAACACACACACACACACACACACACACACACACACACACGTTAGGTGTAATTTAATTACTTTAGGTAAACAGTATCAAAAATTAACCAAGACAGATCATTTTACCTGTTCTATAGAAAATGTCATTGAAATTTGACCTAAAGTATGTTAACCTCTTAAATTTTAGGGATAAGTCAGTTAGTATGTTTTTAACATATATTTAGAATACATTTATTTGCCTGCTTTGGTGTGTATTGTACCTACAAAATAACAAGTTAGATTAGAGTGGTGTAGGTGAACATATATGTTCATGTGTGTATATATTTGTATATTATATATATGTGTATATACACATAGTACAACATCATTGATTGGTATTCTATTTGCAACTAAGGCATACTGTATTTTGCCCTTTTTGAAGTCTTGCAGGGTATCTATTGAATGTATATATGGAACAGTTTCACATTAAGGTTACATTAGGAGCTCTTTCAGAGAATGCCTGGTTAAAGATCAAATAAAATAAGAGTGTGCTAATTGATATGAACCAGATGGCCCATGGAGAAAAAAAACTTAGTCTCAACAGATTGTTCCATTTATTTATCTGTGTGTTTATGCATTTAAAAACACTCTCATTCTTGTATGTATCCCAGGCTCATTCTTCCCCACCTCATAAAATGACCTACACCCTCCCCCACATCCCCCTTCATTTCATACATCAAGAAAAATTCCTGTTTGCTATGTGCCAAATGGTTCTGGAAGGAAGCATACCCTGTTGTCTCCCTACTCACCTAGTCTAGTTCTTTTAGATTTATACAAAATTCAGGCTAAAGTCTAACTCCTTCCACAGAGGCCACATTACTCCTGTTCTCCAGGAGGCTTGGGGACACGCAGAATATCCTGCCTTGTTAGGTTGTCCTATCTTGGCAAATATTCATGAGTTGCCTCCTTTGATTACAGCCCAAATCCCAACTCTTTTTCTACGTTTGTGGCCCAGTTCTCCTCTAGTTCCCATCTATCTGCATGTTTTCCTCTGGAATGCCTATGTCAGTACAAAGCTTCACATCCCTAAGCTTTATGAATTTCTTTTCTTTTTTTTTTTTTTTTTTTTGAGACGGAGTCTCGCTCTGTCGCCCAGGCTGGAGTGCAGTGGCGCGATCTCGGCTCACTGCAAGCTCCGCCTCCCGGGTTCACGCCATTCTCCTGCCTCAGCCTCCCGAGTAGCTGGGACTACAGGCGCCCGCTACCACGCCCGGCTAATTTTTTGTATTTTTAGTAGAGACGGGGTTTCACCGTGTTAGCCAGGATGGTCTCGATCTCCTGACCTCGTGATCCGCCCGCCTCGGCCTCCCAAAGTGCTGGGATTACAGGCGTGAGCCACCGCGCCCGGCCAGCTTTATGTATTTCATTCCTTCCTTTGCCTGGCCTGTACTTAATCAGAACTCTCCAGAGAACTGTTCAAGTTAGATATCAAACTGTGAAATAGATATTAAACTGTGTCTAATTCAAGCAGTCCCTGTTTATTTTCTCTCACCATATGTGGGATATGGGTCTTAAATTCACATTTTTCCTGCTACCTAATAATGTTCCCAGGTTATTTCTCTACTAATGCAAGCTCCTTTCTTTTGATGATTGATCTACCTTTTTATTATACTTTTAAACATTCTGTGTAAGTGCCTCTGTGTATGAAAGAGAAAAAAAGAGAGCTAGGAAGAGGTGATAGTGGAATAAGAAAAATTGTAAAGATAAGAATTACCCATATTTCAACACTGAGAATCAAATCACTTTAACTTTTTGTTATATTTAATTTAAACTTTGTTTATTTTTCTCAATAAGTAATTGAAAATATATACATTGTCTTAGGTATATCTGAAGTTGTGATCACCTGCCATCATTTATCTTGGTCCTCTGCAATCACACCTAGAGTCATCCATGATTATTAGTTTGCTTGTATTTTTAAAAAATTAAAATATTTGAAAGAAAATATATATACAAATATTAGCATTTTTAAATTTACATAAATGTATTACTCACAAAGTGTTCTTACAACTAGTCATATAAATACATACTCTATTCGCTCATATACATGTATCATTTTATTTAAGAATCTTTACCTTGTTCAAACATTTTTCATTATTTTAAACAAAGCTTCAATAAACAGCTTTGTGTCTATCTCCCAGTATTTATGTCTGTGATTTTGTGTAGTAACTACAAGTAGAATCCCTCTATTAAAGGACACACACATCAGCAATTTTGAAAAAAAATTAAGAAAAAAGTACCTGAAAGGGACTTCTAGATTGCTGTGTAGAGGTATTTTCTACTTGCCTCCTCCACTAAGAAGAACCAAAATAGTGAGTAGATAATCACACTTCAAATAGATCATCCAAGAAAGAACACTGGAATTCAACAGAGAGATGTCAGGAAATCCCAAAGCAAGGAAGAAGAGGGAAGCCAGGCAGCCTCATAGGCCAGGACTGACTGGCAGCCAGGAGAGGCTCCCCAGTGCAGGGAAAGGGTGAGTGAGAGACTCCAAGAGGTCTACATTCTCGACTTGCATTGGACTTCTACAGTCCTAGCCACAGGAGAGCTCCTTGACCTTGGACAATCATGGGGCATTGAGTCTAACACAGAGAGCTTCCCAGAAACTGCCTGAAGGCATTGCTCCAGAGGCAGAGCTCACATTGGATCTCACAAACCCCAAATCCTAAACAGCAGTAGCATGGCACTATTTTAAAAGCCCAGACCACAGTGGACTGCATCCAGCTCTGCAACCAAGGCTGAGGAGGGGGCCACAGGCAGCAAACCCAGTCCTCCATGAAGAGAGATGACCTTGTATTTTCATGCATCCTGAGGACCAATTTCACTGCCTGCAACTGCCAGGGCTGCAGACTGCTGTGGGCTAAGGTGCAAGTGAAGCCCATGTCCCACCCTCCCCCACTGCCTACCTAAGGTTGATCCTAAAGAAAGCAAAGCCACCCTTCCCAGTAACATTGTCACATTGCAGCTGCTGCCACCTCCACCTAAGCCTTCCACCAGCAGCTTGGCCCCTGCATACCACAGCCAGTGGTATTTGCATATATTTGGCTATTTCTATGCCGTCTTTTGAGAAATATCTATTCAGGTCCTGTGCCCATATTTTAAATTGGGTTGTTTTCTTGTTATTAAGTTTCTTATATATTTTGGATATTAACCACTTATCAGATACAGTGTTTGTAAATATTTTTTCCCATTCTGTAGTTTGTCTCTTCACTCTGTTGGTGGTTTCCTTTGATGTGGCCACTGCTACCATTCCCAGTACCTGCACAAGCCACCAGAAGGTCCAAGAATTAGCCTGCTTGGACATGCTAACACTGGTGCTAGCATACACCACCCTGGGACACAAGAACAGACTCCTTCAGCCCACTACTGCCATCACTGGGGACTGAAGACAGGCCCACCCAGCCTCTCAGTCCCCAAAAAACTTCACCAGTCTCCACTAACAACTGCACCCTAAGCCACCCCCCAAAAAAAAAAATCACAGACACAACTGATGCTGTTTATAGTCAAAGAAATCATACAGAGATGATACTATCCAAAGTGCCCTGCTCAACCAACACCATAGGAACATCTTCAGGAAAAAGTTCCTCCTTACACAAGCAAATTCAAAAAATTGGAAGAAGCAACGTTTATACTAAATGTGTCAATATCAATGTAAGGATACAAGAAACACGAAAAAGGAAGGCATATGACACCCGCAAAGAAACACAACAATTTCTTGGCAACAGATCCCAATCCAAAAGAAATTCATGAAATCCCCCCCAAAAAAATTCAAAATTTTGATACTAAAGAAGCTCAGTGAGATATAAGAGAATTTTGAAAACAAAAACAAAAACCAATGAGGAAAACAATTCAGGAAATTCTGGAACTAAAGAATTTATGGAATGAAATATAAAATATATTTGAATGTTTCAGTAATAGACTAGATCAAGGAGAAGAAAGAAAATCAGATCTTGAAGACAGATCTTTTAAAGTAACCCAGACAGATAAAAATAAAGAAAAAATAATAAAAAGAGAATAAGCAAAGCCTCTGTGACATAGAGGACACCAAAATGCAACCAAATGTTCAAATTACTGATGTCCCAGAAGGTGAAGAGAGAACAAAAGGTTTAGAAAATGTATTTAGTGAAATAATAGATGAAGCCCCTCCCCATTTTTTTTTTTGAGATAGAGTCTTGCTCTGTCACCCAGTCTGGAGTGCAGTGGTGCAGTGTTGCCTCACTGCAACCTCCGTCTCCCTGGTTCAAGTGATTCTCCTGCCTCAGCCTCCCTAGTAGCTGGGACTACAGGTGTTTACCACCACACCTGGCTAATTTTTGTATTTTTAGTAGAGACGGGGTTTCACCATGTTGGCCAGCTGGTCTCAAACTCCTGACCTCAGGTGATCTGCCCTCCTCAGCCTCCCAAAGTGCTGGGATTGCAGGCATGAGCCACCATGCTTGGCTGAAACCTTTTCAAGTCAAGCAAGAGAAATAGATACTCAGATAAAGGAGACTAGGAGACCCTGAAGAAAATACAACACAAAAAGGACTTTGCCATGACACATTATAACGAGACTGCTCTACACAATGACTGCACTAATTTATATTCCCACCAATAGTGAACAAAGGTTCTCTTTCTTCCACATCTTCACCAGCATTTGTTATATATCATCTTTGTGATAATAGCCATTCTAGCAGACATGAGATGATATCTGATTGAGGTTTTAGTTTGTATTTCTCTGATTAGTGATGTTGAGCATTTGTTGCATAGCTTTGGCCATTTGTATATTTTCTTTTGAGAAATGTCTATTCAGGCCCTGTGCCCATTTTTAAATTAGGTTTTTGTCTTGCTATTGAGTTTCTTATATTTTGGATCTTTATCACTTATCAGATATATTGTAAGTATGCTTTCTATTTCTGCAGATGTCCCCTTTGATCTTATTTGATCTCCTTTTTTTCCTGCACATTCACCATAAAGGGAAGTAATCTACTGTAGCCTTGCTACTAAACTTTTCCTCACCTTGTTGATGGTTTCTTTTGCTGTGCAGAGGTTTTTCATTTGATACACTCCCATTTGTCTATTTTCGCTTTTGTTTCTTGTGTTTGGGAGGTAATATCTAAAAAACTATTTCCCAATTCACTGTTCTAGAGTTTTTCTCCTATGTTTTCTTCCAGTAGTTTTATAGTTTCAGTTCTTACATTTAAGTTTTGAATGAATTTTCAGTTTTTTAAATATGATGTGAAATGAGGGTTTAATTTTGGATGCCCAGTTTTCCCAACACCACTTATTGAAGAGACTGTCCTTTCTCTATCATGTGTGACCTTGGCATTGTTGTAAAAAGTCAACTTACCATAATGTGTGGGTTTATTTCTGGGATCTCTGTTGTTTCCCATTGGTCTGTGTCTGTTTTATGTAGTACCATGATGTTTTGATTGATAGCTTTGTGGTGTATTTTGAAATCAGGTAGCGTGATGCCTCCAGCTTTGTTTTTTTTTGCTCAAGATTGCTTTGGTTATTCAGGATCTTTTGTAGTTCCATTTAGAATTATCTTTTCTATTTCTGTGAAAAATGTCATTGGAATTTTGATAAGCGTTGTATTGAACCTGTAAATAGTTTTGGCTTATATGGACATTTTAACAATATTAATTCATCTAATTTGTGAACGCAGAATTTTTTTCCATTTATTTCTGTCTTCTTCAATTTCTTTCATCAATATTTTATAGTTTTCAATATACAAGTCTTTCACCTCCTTGGCTGAATATATTTCTAAATATTTTATTTTATTTTTATTTTTGATAGCTAGAATTAATGGGATGTTTTCTTGATTTTTTTAAGATCACTCTTGTTAGTGTATAGAAATACTATTGACACTTGCTGTCAATTTTGTATCCTGCAAATTCAGTAAATTTGTTTGTTAGTTTTAACAGTTTTTGGTGGAGTCTTTAGGGTTTTCTATATTAGAGATGTTGTCTACAAACAGGGACAATTTAACTTCTTCCTTTCCAATTTGGATGCCTTTTACTTCTTTCTCTTGACTTATTTCTCCAGCTTAGAAATTGATTTGTTCAGCAGGGCACTCGGTACTGTGGTAAACTTTATGAGTTCATACATATCTGGAAATATCTCTGTTTCTCTCTTAAATGACTGTTTAACTGAGCGTAGTATTTTAAATTTAAAGTTATTTTCCTTCTTGTTTCAGATGAAATGTATGATATCAATCTAGGTCTTATTTTCGTGTAGGCAATCTGCCTGTTCTCTCAGTAGCTTTTAGGAAAATCTTTTTACATGATAGGCTAAACTTTGATTAGATATATTTATTTTAGTCAGTCCATGTCAACACTCTGTAGATTTTTAAATCTGAAAGATTTTGTCTTTCTTAGATCGGGGAAAATTTTTAGTTATTGCCTTTTAAATTATAACCTCACCATCATTTTACCTATCCCCTCTTTCTGAAACTCCTACAATCCTCTTAATCTCTTCACTTTAAAAATTACCCAGTATCAATCTTTGGTAATAATTTCCATGATGCTAATCATTACAAAACACACAGAAGCAGAGGTTCGGGACTGCCAACAGTATTCCCTTCTTGATGCATTAGGATGTACAGCAGACTCACTTTTACATATCAGACCTCTAAATGAAGTATATGATCTTATAACTTATCAGAAGGAAGCTTATTTGGTCATGAAACATTTTCCTTTTATATTATAACAGTTGCATGGCTTACATTATATTTTCCAGGGAGCCATGAAATTCATATACTTCGTGTTTGTTTATGATGATTGATTCTAGACAGACTAGTTATATCCTCCTAACAACATTCTAAAGATGAGGACACTTGCTGCTAATGTGTTTGCCAGGAAGTTTTCCACTAGCATGTTTACCAGAAGATTTCATCTCCTTTTTTTTCTGCACATTCACAATAAAGGGGTGTAATCTACTGTAGGCCTGCCACTAACCTTTTCCTTACCAGTCCACCTTCTGACCTCATTTGACATCTCTTTGATGAATACTTATCAGGAACTTTTTATAATTTTTCTTTTTTAATTTTATGGACTATGTTATATTAAATAATGAAGCTCCTAAGCCCCTTAACAACCAGAAGTTGAACGATTTAGTGTGTAGGAGGAATTTTCTCTATAAAGCGTGCTAACTGTAACCATATCCTTTCAAGTTTCTTTGAGTTGTTTTTTTTTTTACTCACTCTTTTAACTCCAGCATCAGGAGTTATTTAAACTTTTTAAAAAGCACATGTTGGTGAAGGCATTTCAAATGTTTTAAGGGTAAACTTATGATTATTTTTCTAGCAAACCTGTTATAAAAGTTTTTATATCACTTGGCCTTTTGAATTTGCCCCTCAAATGTTTCTCTCATCCTGGAGGTCATCATTAAGTACTTAATTCTACCTATAGACCTACACATATTGTATTACCTGTAGTGCTGTGGCAGATAAATAAAAGGGATATGTGGCACACTAGCCATCAGTAAAATGACAGCATCAGTCTCTATTCATTCCTAACAGAAACCATGTTTTATATAGTGCATACGCTCAGAGCAACTGGGGTGGTATTTAGAGGCCCTTGTTCTGTAAATTGTGGATTCTCTCTGGTCTGTGGACATAACCATGTCCCATATATTATAGTACAGATTTTCATAGAGCCTGATGTCAAGGGTCATAGTGTACTGTATTGTTTATTTATCTCTTCAATCCTAACTAACTGCCCCATGGCAATGACAATGTCCTTTTTTATTCACAGAACTGGACCATTAGAGAACAATAAGAGCCAACAATCCTGTAACATCTCAGCATAAATTACCCCAGCCCTCAATCACTTCTTCTAGAACTAAACTTTAAATATATCGAATTTCATTATAATTAAAAGTCTTTCCTGGGTGATGGTATCAGTTCTTTGTCATCGTTATTGACAGGTATGGAGTTTCATTAGAGTAATTATTCAATTATTCATGCTCTTATAGTCTAAACACAATACACTGAATAATAGTTGGAGTAGCCTACAGGTATTTTGAGTATTCAGGATGCTCTTTTTCCCATATCGTACTGGTGGAGTTGCTAGGCAGAGCTCATGTATCAACAAGCATTCAATTCTACTTCTCTAGAGAAGGTAAGTTAAGGGTCTTCCCCACTGCCCACAAAAATCAGCCATTCATCAGTGCCAGATATGAGAGCATTGGTAAGATATTATTCTCTTGTTTTTAGTTACTCTTGTGGAAATATTATGATTGCATCCCTTTCTGGGATTGTGAATCACTTATGAGTTCCTATTCCACTTACTATTATTTTCCCTTGTTTTCATTTATTGTGCCTCCTGGTGGACTTGCTGACCCAAATGTGCTATTCGCATATAGGGCTGGACATAGTAGCAGCCTTGCTAATTTCCCCATTTATCCTATCTGTAAGCAGATCTTGCAGAATATGACAGATAAAGGATGAGAGCATTGCTGCTGCCATTTGGTAATGATAGTACATTCATAGCCAGCCCTAATTCTTCACCACCTCACACACTCTCACCTCTTGATCTGAGAAGTCTCTCCAGCAGAGTCCTTGCCTTACTTCTTTTCACAGAAAATGTGAGGACCAAATCATTTAAACATCTAAGCCATTTGTTCAAGATGTCCCCATTGCCTATATTGAATAATAAATATTCAAATTGCCTATTCCAATGAAAATTTTAAAATGTTGTAGGTCCATATGCTTTTATATTTCTTTCCCGTTTTTGGTTATCGGTAGCAGTAAAGTACATACATTTTTTCAAAAGAAATATATCCAGGTGGTCTGAAATGGTAGAAAATTTGCTGTTCCAAAATTTTAATTGTTTTATCTAAGGTTGTTTTTAATGTAGAGTAAGAAAAGCCTAGAATGAAATCTGTGCCAATCCCAGTTAAACCTGTTTATGCTCTTGGGGCTATTGGTTGAAGTCCAGTGTAATCAGCTTTGCAGGTATTGATTCCATTCCTATCAACAGTAGGCAGTTTTTATCTCATTAGCCATTTCATCAGGTCCTAGAAGAGAGGTACATGACATCTCTCAGGCCGTGAGTACATGTCCTGAACACACACATGCCCACTTATTTATGAACTCATGAGCTAACTAGGCATCTACCTTTATTTTCCAATCCCTTCTTATCTGACAACAGTATTTTTTTGGTGGGCATCTATATGAACCAGTTTAACTCTTCCTCTAAATTCCTATAGAGAACTCCATATCCGAATGCTCTATATGTAGTATTTTTTTTATCATGCAGTCATCTACAGCCCATTTGCCTGATCATATAGCAAGCCCTTTGGCTACAGCTCAAGTCTATAAATATGCAAACGCTCTTTAGAGGGTCTGAGCCTAATTCCTCTTCTACTTTTAATTAACCGCTCTCAGCAATTTTCCCTACGTGAACTTGCCCTTCCTTTCTTTCGTCAAAGTTTTACCACCCACTGGGCACATTGTGGCTGCTTTCCAAATAGCAATATGGCTCTAAGATTGGGAACTCCCACTAAGTGACCAGAAAGCCCACTTTTCCTCAGTTGGGAGAGTATAAGGTTTGGCCTACATAGCATTGGAAGCAAGGAGTTCCTCTGAGGTCACAAGGTCTATGTGCAGTGAAGCAATCTATTCATGTACATGTGATACACCCCATTGAACTCTCTCACCTACTCCTTGTCTTCTTGCTGTTCTTAAATATACCACTTCCATTTTAGGAGTAATCTTTGCTGTACAGCTCTTTCTCTGTTAGAATACTTCACTGACATCACCTAAGTCCTAACTGATATTTCTGGCCTTAGATTTATCTGACCCCTTTTGTGGTGGGTGACATTTTGATTAACATTCAATAACAAGACAACAATTATCTTTCAAGTAGACTAGAATTAACAGCTGTCTTTGACTGCTCTCAGATCCAGAACCTGAGAAAGCTTTGTTGGATAGATGTATTCAAATTTTCTAAAGTGTCCAGTCTATGAATGTTCTGGTTACAGACATTTCTAATGTAATTTGAGCAGTTAGGTCTTCAGGGCTCAGTAGGGCCGCTTGTCACACCACTCTCTGTAAATCTTTTAATCGTTTCTGCTCAGAGGGAAATTCCAATTTAGATTTCTTTCTGGTGATTTTGTGATTAGGAGCCAACAGGATTATTAGATGAGGTTGATTTTGCTAAAACCCAGATAGTCCTGCTAATCATTGAGCTTCTTGTTTATTGGCAGGATCTGTGAGAAATAATAACTGATTTCTTGTGGTTTTAGAAATCCCCAGAAATTCTACAGACCAGGCTAAATCTGAATTCATCAGCCAGCCTCTATTGGTTTAGCCCTTAGTTTCTCCTGAGATTTCCCATCTAAGGAAACAATTATAGTTTAGGAGTTTAGGAGTTTAACTTATTTGTGAAGGTTTTCAGATCCTTCATTACACTATTGTATTGCGCTGGTAAATTAAAATATTCCTACAGCAAAACGGAAAGTGTATACTCTGTTCCAGGAGAATGCAAAATATTCTGGCTGGACTTCAAAATTGAGATTGGAAAATTAGGTTTTGGCCAGATACATGGGAGCATATGAGCCTCCCTTTTCCTGTTGTACTTCCTACATAGCCTTGGCATATCAGGTATACTGAATGAATCAAAGGTTCACTATATGTAATTCTAAATTGTCTACTGTTAACCTTCAGCAACTGTCTGCCTAATATACTATCTAGACAGGATCAATAAAAGAGGAGTTAGTGGGAATCACTTCTCCCATTTCCTTAATCAGAACAGTGATATCTCATCGCCCTTCTGGATTTTTGTATTGCTTAATGTTTTCTACTGGGAAGAGCTCAGGCAATTCCAAAGTTCCCATTTACTATGGCCAATTTAAATTGGGCCAAAGTAGGCTTAGTTTATACCCCTTGCGAAAAACATACCTGTTTCTCATTCACGCATAATATCTCTTCCAGTTATGCATGTAGTTAAAGACAAGGAGGCCTCAGAAGAATCTGTCCAGCCTCAATTTCCAGTTTGTACTTTCATCCATACCTTGGTTTCCTTCACTAAGAGTCTCCGTATCCTCCCATTTTCCACCTTGGGACTTTCAGAGGACCATCCTGGTCCCCAGTAAGTCTAACTGTTTTGAGCAAGGAAGCTTCACTTTGTGCTTCACAGGGATCAGGTTGAATCAGGGACTTCCCCTGAAGTAACACCCTTCCTGGGCTCACTCCCCTTCCCTAGCTGGCTTCCTTCACTCCTTAACTGGTTTCTCCCAGGGGTACTTTATAAATCATTTGCATTTGAATCTTTGGCTCAGGTTCTGCTTCTAGGAGAGTCTGGCTTAAGATACCTGGTTAGTAATCTCCAATTCCTGTCATCTTTCTGAGTAACTTTTATGTGTTACAAGAGAAATGGCAAATAGGTGGCATTTTGCTATCAGGCTTCCCTCACTCCCACTGCTGCCCCTTATTAGGTGCATTGCACATATGCTGGCACTGTTCCTGCTGAGCTCACACATGGCTTCAGAGTTCTCTACGATGTTCTCCAAAAGTTACAGATCATCCTTAATTGTTTTAACTTCTAAACCTCAATATGAAAACAATAACAACAAATAGTAATAGCACTTTTAATCACTCAATCTCCCACTCAGTGATCTAGAGAATTTAATCTATAAATCAGATTAAATCTATGCTATATTCTTACTTATCAGTGAGTATATACCAACATTTTATTCCCCAGTAACGAGTTTTAAAGGAATGCTCCAGCTATGTAGTCAGAGACTAAGAGCATAATATTTTGTTGTATGGATCTTATTGGAGTTCTCTTGGAATAGTCATGGGTTTACTTGAAGTGTGTCTCTCGCTAGAGTCTGAAAGTAAGTGTATTAAAAGATGTGGGTTTTTTTTTTCCCTTCTGTTCCCAGAAAAGATAACAGCTTCAAATTGGTTTCTCTGACAACGATTCTTTAAAGGACAGTTCTCCTTCCCTTTTTGTCATCATGTATCTGTTTAATTGTTCTTGTTTCTTATCACAGTCTGTAACTATTTTGTTAGATTATAAATTAACTTGTTGGTGTCTGTAGTTATAAAGTAAAAAATATTAAATAATATTTTCATAAGAACAAGGGCCACAGTTTGACTTGTTTAATACTGTATCTTCAACAGTCCCTTGCCTTGCTAATAGGAGGAATTCAATAACTGTGTGATGAACAATTGAACAATGAATCGAAGAATAGAAAGAGGCCTGTATGGGGATGATCTGCGAGGTAGATGGCACATGTGAGTCAGAAATTGAGGATCACATTTTCTTTCTCATTACTATGATTTTATTATGCATTTTTATTCTGTTTTTTATTCTAGAACAGTGGATCACATATGGTTTTAGGAGTTAAATGCAATTTACTTTTATATCCTCGTCTATCACCTACTAGTTCAGAGTTGCTTAAAATATCAGGACTCAGTTTGTTACTCTATAAAACAATGTTACGTCTAAGAGGGTTGTCATGAAGATAAAATGAGGTGAATTTTTAAAACATCTAGTGTCTGGCATACAGTAGGTACTCAGCAGAGACAATATTCCAGAACTTTCAGCATGCAATATGTTTTCCTTTATATATATAAGGATAGAGGAAATTATTATTACTCCCATATATAACACAATTATACTCACTTATGTGAACACATAACTTATCTGAATAATGCAATTTTGGCTCTAATATGAGACATAAAAATTGGAGATCTTCTTGTCCAACATTCTCCTAGACAATTTCAAGACTGATGATCAAGATTTGCTGTTCATATTCCTTAGACTCCTTCCCTGTACAATAATTTAAAAACATACTGAATTTGAAAAGCTGCTTTAAAATTTTAATGGTCAAACGTAAATAGACAGTAAATGGAAAATACCATTTAAAGAATGCCAGAGGTGGGATGCCCTGTGATGTGAGTAGCTCCTTCAGACCCAAATTCTTTTGCTAATCTATGGAGAAACTGAGCTGCATAAATGTTATTCCAGCTAATCTTGGCCTTCTTCTTGTGCCTTGCCTGAATCATGACTGGAAAATAGGTAATATAACTGTTTTTTAAACTATGTCTGCATTTGCAGAAAATGCTGTTTGAGAAGTTTGGACATTTTAGTACTGTCCCTATCTATTTGGCCTTTCATCAACTCCCTATCTATTTCCTTTTTCATTAACTCTATAGATTGCTTAAAAGCCAGGTGTTTTGTTTTTGGTTGTTTTGTTTTTTGTTTGTTTTTTGTTTTTGAGACAGAGTCTGGTTCCATCGCTCAAACTGGAGTGCGGTGACACGATCTCGGCTCACTGCAACCTCTGCCTCCCAGGTTCCAGCCCGGCTAATTTTTGTAGTTTTAGTAGAAACGGGTTTTCACCATGTTGGCCAGGCTGGTCTCGAACTCCTGGCCTCAGGTGATCCACCCACCTGGGCCTCTCAAAGTGATTGGATTATAGGTGTGAACCACTGCACCTGGACAAAAGCCAGGTGTTCTAAAGGTTGCCTTTGCTTGAGTGCAGGATTGTTTTCATCCTAATATAATAACATTTTTTTCCTCTCATTTATTTCTACATTAAAGAAGGCTTTAGTGTTTTTACAGAAGTATTTTGGCTAAGTAATGTTTTGTTTTCTGTCTTTACTATTTGGAATTTAAAGAAGGAAATTATTTTAGAGTTTTGAAATACACCAACTGAAGGGGAATTTTAATTATTGGTGTCAGCTGGATTGTAATACTGATCAAAAGTATAATAATAAATAGAGAATGTGATTTCCACCCTCAATTGTAAGGGAGGTCACGGTACCCTTATTTTGCTAATTGAAGTTAAATCTGACTCAATGTCCTCACTTTCCCAGGGTGGAAAGAAATTCAATTTGGTTATATTTTGAGAGATCATTCTCCTTCTTAGGGTCACATGACAAACTAGAGAACTTTGTAATGCCTGGAATACGGAAAGAAGAACTACATTCTGCAATACATCTAGTTGTTGACAAGATGCTCATTTTCTGAGCCATGTGATTATTCAGATGTGAACAGCTCAATCCTTCCATGAGAAACATGAGCAGAAGCCTAACCATACCATGGTTGTTGGCATTCTCCATCTCTCCAAGCATCCACATGCCACCCCATCTTAGGTTTCAGTGGCTCTCAAGTCCATATTTCTCCATGTGTTACGAAGAACCACATCCCCCACTACTCTCAAGGAAAAAGAAAAAATCAAAACCAAAGTAAACAAAACACCCATCTCTATTCTTCATCTCAAAGAAATTTTCTAGAAGTTGAAGCTCTTTTAGCCTTAATATTCTATTAACTTCAGAACCACACCCTTCCATTTATGACAATTTAATTCAAAGCCTCTTATATCTGACCCTAGAAAAAGGGAATCCTTCTGCCTCTAGGACTCAAAGCCCAGCAAAACATTTCAAAAGAGTTGAATGTGAGAAGGAAAATAGTTCTCATTCTTTAAAATTCTTTATAAGAGTAGGATCAAAACATATTATTTGTGTCTATAAATTGTCTAATCACTAATGGTACCAGGACTTCTTGTCACTAAAACTATGCTCTGTAATGCATTCCAGTGGAAAGCGGTGTTTATAGTGCACCTGAATTAGACCTGTGTCAGACAGGGATATTGTTCTAAAATTAATAATGAGTTGTAAGATTGTATACATTTATAATTAATTTTTCAAAACCTTGGGTAGTTGGTGAGACTTATTTCAGGTTTCTTTTCTTTATTTCTGTAAGTAGCTTTGATCCTTGCATGCAGTACAATGTACTCTAACTAGAATTTTAGCTTTAATGTTACCATCTGAGAAATATCTTCTGGTTGCAACTTTAACACATTCCTCATACATGATATAAAGTGCAACAATGTTTTATTGGTAGCATACCAGTCAGTACACTGCTATTTAAGTTCTGAAAAAAGTAGGCAAACAAAAACCAACAGGACAACAAAAACAAACTTTGTGGTCATTTTGTGATAATATGATAAAATTTTGCTCATTCTGATTTTTTAAAAATAGCTATATAATCATGATATATTTTAGCATAGTCACATAAAATAACCTAATTACTGTTGCCAAAAGGAGAATGCTGAACAATGATGTTTGTGGGATAAAATTCTTTTGTGGAATTCATTAGCAGTATCAGACACAAAAATATTTATGATGTTATAAAACTGCTGGAAAAAAGAAGACATTCTGTATAGTTTAGGGTTTATTTGGGCCTCAAACTACTTTTATGACCTTGAAATTCTCCCAGGTTGTGAGTTCACAGAGTTTATACAGTGTGCAAGGAACACCTTTGAAATGAGACTGAGAAGCCTTTCAATGAATTTTGATCACTCGATATAATTTGCTATGAATGCTATATTCAGTCTACATAGCAAACTTACACTGAAGGTTTGGACAAGGGAGAGGGTTATGTCCTAGTAATGCAACCTTGAATATCAGACCTACATTTTAAAAATAAATAGTTTATGAATGTTATATTCATAGCAAATGATATATAAGTGATCAAATCCATTTAAAGTATTCTCAGTCTAGAGAAAATGTGCTTCTGTATGAAGTCATAGAATTTCTTCTTTCTTAGATTTAGCCTTATCTCCACGCCCCATATTTATCTACTCTAATGGACATACTTGTTTTTCTGTTTAGCATCCCTTTCTTCTTCCTCCTCATTTTGAAACAATACTGACACATTTCACTAACTCCTAGCTGTAGTGGTAGGTCCCAGATATAATCACTGCATTTCTTTTCCCCTGTTGTAAGTATTGGGTTAGTACTGGCCATGTAAACTACACAAGCCAGCTGGATATACCTTAGGACATGTAGTTGGAATACTGTAGCCAGAGTGCTTTCTCTCCAACTGGTGTAAACACCAGTTGCTGCAACTGTAAGAGGAATTAATCTTAACCTTAGACTAAAACTTATTTTAGAAAATCAGAGTGATTGGGGTGAATTGGATCAGCCAAATTCTGCTATAAGTCTGGAATTCTAGTTATATCAGTCAATATATTTAAGTTACTGTTAAGGCAACTGGAGCTGCAATTTCTCTTGTTATTTGCATAAAACTTCACAGACTTAGCAACCAAATTATTCTTTTTAGAAAAGGAAACATTTATTCCTTCCTGCCTTAACCAAGTATAAAAACCTCTGTATCGTCATAATAAAAACGACTAAATTTTTCCTCAGGCTTCACTCTCCAATAGTTATACCGTTATTTATTTTCCCTTTGAAAACAGATTTACTAAAATGTGTGACAGGTTGTAGGCATTACCCCAGATATCCAAAATCTAGGTAGTAACTGCTTTCTTTCTTTCTTTTTCTTTTTTTTTAAATTATGCTTTAAGTTCTAGGGTACATGTGCACAACATGCAGGTTTGATACATGGGTATACAATGCCATGTTGGTTTGCTGCACCCATCAACTCATCATTTACATTAGGTATTTCTCCTAACGCTATCCCTACCCCAGCCCACAACCCTGCAACAGGCCCTGGTGTGTGATGTTCCCCGCCCTGTGACCAAATGATCTCATTGTTCAATTCCCACAAAAATATAGAACGCTTCAGGAGTCCGCATGTCGTCCTTGCGCAAGGGCCATGCTAATCTTCTCTGTATCGTTACAATTTTAGTACATGTGCTGTCGAAGCGAGCAAGGTAGTAACTGCTTTCTGCTCTTGCAGAAGCAAGGTTGTAGGCTGAAGTGGAACTCAACCTACAAAGCAAAGTTACACTGAAGGTTTAGACAAGGAAAGGGGCTATGTCCTAGCAATACAACTTTGAATATCAGACCTCCATTTTTAAAATAAGTAGTTTAGGTCCTCCTTCCTGGGAATTTCTGACCGCCTTCTCTGTGAGATCTAGCCTCCTACTATGCGGTGTTTCTTTGCTTCTCTGTTTTCTGGGCCATTTGTACTGGATGTCTTCTCCAAATTCCAGTCTCCTCTTTTTATTCAAAAAACAATAAGTATAATTTAGCTCTTTCTGCCTCTTTTTAGCTAAGATCCACCTTTGTACTTCTAAGGACTCCTTAAAGTGCTCTATTAAATAACAGATTAGCCAAGGTCTGTGCTGTCTTTCAGTAACTCAAACCTGGTGAAGGCTCTGCGATTGACATCTTCCTTATTTTGCTCTTCCATAAGACTCAGTGGAAAGGGGAATTCGTTTTCTGTGTTATTTGAATCATGCCTCTTATCTTGAGAACAGAAGTAACTTTATACACAACTTTAGCCCTTCAATGCAATTGTCTGTCTCTCTCACTAGAACATGAACTCTGTGAAGGCAAACTATCATATTAACATTAGTTTCTCTCTTCGCAGCACATAGGTATTCAATAAATATTTGTGGAATGAATGAAAATGTAACAGAGCAATACAAATAAAAATTCAGTATATGAGGGAATTTCATTTGACCAAATATCACAGACATTAGCATAATTTTATCCAAGTATTATAGTCACGTGTCGCTTAACAATGAAGCTATATTCTGAGAAATGTGTCATTAATGGTGATGTCCTCATTGTGCAAACATCCTGGAGTATACTTACACAAACCTAGATGTTATAGCCTACTACACACCTAGGCCATGTGGTATAGTTTCTGGCTGTTAGTCTACGAAATCTGTACAGCATATATAATTTTTGATTTTAAAATATTTTATATTAAAATAAATGTTAATAAACAAGAGGAACAGAAAACATCAGTGATTGCCAGGGGGCAGAAAACACTGAAAACAAGGGGGCAGAGGGGAATGTTTTGGGTGATGGATCTGTCCTGCCTACCGACTGGTTACAAAACTATGCATTTGTCAAAATTCACAGACTAGACACTAAAAAGGATGATTTTACTGAATGTAAATTATAAACCTTTTCTTCAAAAAGAAAAAGAGTGAGAGAGAGGAACCAAACATATACCCTTTGTGGAAAAAAAAAGTCTTGTAATAGGTTTCATCTTTTTTTTTTTTTTTTTTTTTTTTTTTGAGACGAAGTTTTTGCTGTTGTTGCCCAGGGTGGAGTGCATTGGTGTGATCGTGGCTCACTGCTACCTCCGCCTCCCGGGTTCAAGCGATTCTCCTGCCTCAGCCTCCTGAGTAGCTGGGATTGCAGGCACCCGCCACCATGACTGGTTAATTTTTTGTATTTTTAGTAGAGATGGGGTTTCACCTTGTTGATCAGGCTGGTCTCGAACTCCTGGACTCAGGTTATCCACCCACCTCGGACTCCCAGGGTGCTGGGATTATGGACTTAAGCCACCGCACCTGGCCGTTTTTCTCTTACAGACAGTAAAAACAAGTACTAGGGATTTAAAGCAAAGAACAGTATGAGAGAGATCTTCAACAAAGAAATGTTTCAAAATGTGTGTTTTTTTTGTTTGTTTGTTTGTTTTAGAACAACGTGCTTATACCAGAGGTAAGGCTTATTTTTGTATTTGGTTTGATAATTTGACTTGCAATTTTTCTATGGGAATAAACGTGTTAGAATGCTTATTTTTAAATTTCACAAAATTTGCAGGCAGTAAGCAAGGACTTAGAGCCATAGAGGGCTCTAAAACTAGTTCTATAAAGCATCTTACCATAAAAATATGTACAGATTTTTAATAGAAAAGTATATTTCTTTACAGTAGAAAAATAATATTTGAACAAATAGTCAACTTTTCTTGAAAGACAAGAATTCAAATGTAACATACTACTTATAAACTAGCTAAAATTGAATCAGGCTGTTTATAAGAACTGATTCCAAAATTTACATATATGAATGTACATAACTGATCTGTAGAAGCTCTTCAAAATCTATTGTGAATTTAAAAGTTAAAATTGTCCTTGCGGCTGGACGCAGTGACTCACGTCTGTAATCCCAGCACTTTGGGAGGCCGAAGTAGGCAGATCACGAGGTCAGGAGTTCGACACTAGCCTGGCCAACATCATGACACCCCTTCTCTACTAAAAATACAAAAATTAGACGGGCATGGTGGCACGCGCCCATAATCCCAGCTACTGGGGGGGCTGAGGCAGGAGAATTGCTTGAACCCAGGAGGCGGAGCTTGCAGTGAGCCGAGATCGTGCCACTGCACTCCAACCTGGGCGACAGGGCGAGACTCCGTCTCAAAAAAAAAAAAAAAAAAAGAAAGAAAGAAAAAGGAAATTGTCCTTGCAGTTTGGCGCTACAGCAGATCAGCCCGCAATGGCTGCCGGTATCCGCTGCTTTCTTGGTGTCTGAGCTGTAGAGCGGACCTGTCAAAGAGGGACAGCTGTTTGGGTCACTTTCCCTCTGGCTGTTTGTGGCACAGGTACATGAGGACCTCAATCTTGTCCTGGAAAGAATACCATGCACTGGAAGTCTGCGAAGAAGTGAAGACACTAAAGGGGCGCAGCGTTGTGTTTACTTGGCGGCAGTGGAGCGGGTCCAGGGCAGTCCTCCTTCGCCAGGTTGGTTTTTAAAGCACTTCTTTGGTTTAGGATTCAACTTGGTCATGGTCACTTTCATTATCATTGTCATTCTCCTCATCTTTTTCCCTCTTTCCTCTTTAAGTATTTTCGGGTATTTACTAGCTAAAATCTTCTTTGGCAATATATCTTCAAGAAATTGAAAAGTTTCTGATTCCTCTGCAGTATTTGCTAAATCGCTGTCAGTGTTTTCTTTTCCTTCGCACTGCCATGTCTTTGTCTTTATGAAAAGGGGGCTAGATATTGAACAGAGTTCCATTGCCTTGGCCGTGAGCACCAGCGCCTCCTGGTGGACGCTGGACACCTCGGGAAGCTCTTCATGATGACCCGGATGCGAGACAGGGGCAGCCAGAGGAGCGGCTGCTGCCGGCGCTTTTCTTTGCCCATGACCACCTCCGCCATCTTCCCGCCACTGACGGTCGCACCAGGAAGTGGCTGCTTGGCCAGCCCGTGTGTGTGCGGGGCCTGTACAGCATATTACTGCACTGAATACTGCAGGCAATTGTAACACAATGGTATTTGTGTATCTAAACATACCTAAACATAGAAAAGGTATATCGTAGAAATGTGATATAAAAGATTAAAGTGGTGTATAGGGGCACTTCCCATGAATGGAGCTTCAGGACTGGAGGTTGCTCTGGGTGAGCCAGTTTACATTTACTGGGTGAGTGAATATAAAAGCCTAGGATATGACTGCATATGACTATAGACTTTATAAACACTGTAGATTTAGGCTTACTAAATTTCTAAAATATTATTTTCTTCAATAATAAATTATTCTTAGTGTATTGCTTCTTTTTTATTTTTAAACTTTTAACTTTGAAAAACTTTGACTCTTGTAATAACACTTGGCTTAAAACAAACACATTGTACATCTTTTAAAAAATATTTTCTTTTTGAATATTCTTCTATAAGCCTTTCTTCTATTTTTAAAATCGTTTTTACTTTTTTGCTTTTTAAACTTTTTTGTTGTTGTTGTTAAAAGTTTAAGAAAACAAAGACACAAATACACACATTAGCCTAGGCCTACAACAGAAACAGAATCATCAGTATCACTCTCTTCAGTCTCTACATCTTGTCCCGAGGGAAGGTCTTCAGGGACAATAACACACACGGAACTGTCATCTCCTGTAACAACGTCTTCTTCTGGAATATTTCTTGAAAGACTTGCTGAAGCATTTTACAGTTAACTTAAAAAAAAATAAGTAGAAGGAGTACATTCTAAAATAATGAAAAGTACAGTATAGTAAGTACATAAATCAGTAACATAGTTGTGTATTATTATTCAGTATGATGTACTATACATAATTGTATGTGCTATACTTTTATAAAACCAGCAGCATAGTAGGTTTGTTTACATCAGCATTACCACAGACACATGGGTAATGCATTATGTCACAATATTATGGCTACAATCTTACTAGGTAATAGGAATTTTTCAGTTCCATTATAATTTTATGGAATCACAATTTTATATGTGGTCTATTGTCAACAGAAACATCATCATCTGGTGCATAACTGTACATTTACTTGTTTAATTATGTTAACAATTATTGTTTTTAATGTAATATTTCTTTCTAAATTTAGGCTATTCTGTCTTTAATATTGTTTGGTTTGGGTTGGGTATTTTATAAACTCTTAAAGATAATTGCCCTATTACTTTTTTAAATTTACTTAATTTAATTAATTAATTAATTAATTAATTAATTAATTAATTTATTTATTTTGAGACAGAGTCTTTCTCTGTTGCCAGGCTGGAGTGCAGTGGCACGATCTCCGCTCACTGCAACCTCCGCCTCCCAGGTTCAAGTGATTCTCCTGCCTCAGCCTCCCGAGCAGCTGGGACTATAGGCGTGGCCACCATGCCCGGCTAATTTTTGTATTTTTAGTAGAGATGGGGTTTCACCATGTTGGTCAGGATAGTCTCAACCTCTTGGCCTCATGATCCACCCACCTTGGCCTCCCAAAGAGCTGGGATTACAGTCGTGAGCAACTGCACCTGGCCTAAAATTTTTAAATAAATTTTCTTTGCAATATTCCATACAAAATATTACTAGAGAGTAAATTTTTTATGCTTCTTATTGGTCTATGTTGGAAACAATGGCAGATTCTTGGGCTTTCTGGCTACTTCATTTCTATCAACAAAGTTACATCATAGAAAATGAATTCAGAAAATCAGAAAAACGTCTAGTCTGGGTCAAGTAGGAAAGGTAACCAAGTCTCTAAAAATTGATCTCACCAGTACAAACTGTATTCCCCCAGGTCTTCATAGTCTGTGGTTTCAAAATGTGTCATTTAAAAAATAATATTTAAAATTTTACTGGCTCTTGACACCTTCTGCAAAATACATTAGCCCTTCCAAAATTCATTTTCACACTTCTGTGTGTCTCTGAAATTATCTCACATATGTTCCTAAAGGTTTCCTCCACGATTCTTCAGTTCTCATCCCCTCATCAATGTCTGACATTTCTGAAGCCATTCTATGACAGAACCTTCCCCACCTCCTGATGCAAACGCCGTATGTGAGAACATCTATGTACTTTATAATGTGTCCATGATATAGTCATATCATGATCCAAGCAAATTTGGGGCAGAGCAGTAGGGGGTGGCGAGTATTTAAAATGGCACAAATTGTGCCATTCTCTCTCACAGAAATTCTGGCAAATCATCTCCTCCATTATCTTCCTATCTTTCTAAAATATTAATCAGTGGATTGGAACCCCAGTGGAGCCCAGATAGCATACCATCCTTCTTTTCCCTTAAAAACAAACCATCTACCAAGCAATCTACCTGCTAACCATTGACAATGAAAGCAACATCTTCCCCTTCCTGTATCTGTTATGCATCTCAACTTTCAGTGTCTCTGCCTAGCAGTACCTCTCTTATTGTAACATTTATCTGAATCTTGATTAAGCTTAAGAAAGAATGGCCTATATGTACTGGCATATTTGTACCTCCTCTTCAAATTCATTCTCTCCCCTTCTCCACCCTGCTTTTTGCCCCAGGTGGCTGACCTGTATAAACTATATCATTAGGCTTCCTTCACTCTGCCTTTCAGTTGTCTTATACCAACAAGGAGCCTGAAGAAAGGAGAAAGAAGAGTGAGGTCAGAATATCTCCCCCTCTGGCTTCCTTCCTGATAGGTGAGCTCAGGTGATCTGTATGCTTTCACTAAAGGTCACTGCATCTTTCCAGGCGACCGCTACATGACTCTCTCCTGTATTCAGTGACTGAACTCCTTCCTCAGCCTAAGGATTTCAACAGCTCCGTTGCTAGTAACCTTGAATTATTCAACCAACTTTTATTATTTCCCTCACTCACACGTACATTGTAAGTAAAATATTATTGGATCAGCCTGTTTGTATATGCCATCTGTTTTTGTTTTCTGTGGGGACCCAGACACAGAGCAACTGGTACTGCAACTGACCCTACAAAACAGAACCTCACAGTAGGATTCAGAAGAATTAGGTTGCTCATGTATTTGAGATGCAAGAGACATGCTCCTTACAAAAACAGGTGGTGAGACATGGAAAATTTATGACAGATGAAGGTGTCATGATTACCAGCATTCATTTTTACTGATGATAGCATAGGATGAAGAGGGATTTCAGAGAAATCAGGTTTCACTTAGTTGTTAAGAATATAGTAGTGATTTCAGATATCGCAGCTATTCAGCTGCTTTTTCTGGTCCTAGAGAACAAACACAGGGAATATGAGAAATTAAAATCTGTAAGCATGCAATTAGGGATATGCATGGGAGAAGTAGAAAGATTCCCTGAAGTTTTGAATGAGTCCCTCCTCTCCTGTAGTAGAGGGAAATTTATAACTTGTGGGAAATCTAAATTTTCTTTTTAAGTAAACAGAGTTTCCAGTGCCAATTAAATGCTCTACCACACATCTCTAAGATAGTGGTATTGGTGGCAAGGACTGAAATCCTGACACATAAACTAAAGACATTTATTTAGACATAGATGAAGCTGGGAGTCTTAAAACTCCAAATTCCCCCATATTTCTGTGTAAGCAGAAGCAAATCTTTTCATTCTCTTAGAGAATAATCTCTTATCTGAGGGAGAAAAAAGAAAAAACCTGACTACATATGGGACAGTTGCTTCCCAAGACAAAGTGAATTCTTTCCCATCCCAACATCTCTTATTGTGTCTAGGTTGATAATAAGAGCTCGATCCCACTCTGTCAAGAGAGGTACAAAGATTGTTCTGGATGTGATGGTCTCTACAGCAATTCAATTAATACATTATATTGAAGAAACCCTGTTAATTGTACCTGGTGAGCAAAAAATAAGTTTCTCAGATATATTAGTAAAAATATGTGTGATTGCAGTGGAAGATAAATCCCTCAGAAGTTAGAGGTCTGCTTCACAGATGAAGTTTTTTAAGTGCCCAGTAATCTGAGGCTGGTACCTTCTACCACCCATCACAATGCTTGGTAGGCTTCTTTGGATTATGCAGGCAATGTGTACCACATTTGGGCATGCTGCGCTTGTGTCCAGAATTGGTGGGTTCTTGGTCTTGCTGACTTCAAGAATGAAGCCTCGGACCCTTGCGGTGAGTGTTACAGCTCTTAAAGGCGGCGTGTCTGGAGTTGTTCATTCCTCCTGGTGGGTTTGTGGTCTCGCTGGCTTCAGGATTGAAGCTGCTGACCTTCCCGGTGAGTGTTACAATTCTTAAAGGTGGCAGGTCTGGGGTTGTTTGTTCCTCCCATCCCGAGTTTTTCATTCCTCCCGGTGGGTTCGTGGTCTTCGCTGGCTTCAAGAATGAAGCTGCAGACCTTCACAGTGAGTGTTACAGCTCATAAAGGTGGCACGGACCCAAAGAGTGAGCAGCAGCAAGATTTATTGTGAAGAGCAAAAGAACAAAACTGCAGAAGGGGACCCGAGTGGGTTGCCGCTGTTGGCACTGGTGGCCTGCTTTTATTCCCTTATTTGGCCCTACCTACATCCTGCTGATTGGTCCATTTTACAGAGAGCTGATTGGTCCATTTTACAGAGTGCTGATTGGTCCGTTTTACAGAGTGCTGATTTGTCCGTTTTGAGAGTGCTGATGGGTGCGTTTACAATCCTTTAGCTAGACAGAAAAGTTCTCCAAGTCCCCTCCAGACCCAGAAGCCCAGCCAGCTTCACCTCTCATTCTGACACATTTATTAGGAATAATCTGTAGGGCAGATAGATGAACTGAGAAAAATAAAATGTAGCAGCAGGTTCAGGCTACGGTGCAAGCTGACACTTGAGTCTTGAGGTTCAGTAGACACAATTGTATTGGAGGCAGCTGGGGCAGACAGAGATGCTAATGGAGAGCCTGTGTCACACTGCATGAAGAAAGTCACAATACAGATGCCCAGTGCTTGAAGTCAGACCTCCCCTCTGCTGGCAATTCTTTTTCATTTCAAAAGTGGCATCTGGCTTGCCACTGGGCCGTGGTATATACTTGAGCTTCTGTCCAGAGGACACCACATAACTGCAACCTGATCTTCCCATCCTGAAGAAATGGGCATATCTGGTCCATTTTACCCTTACATTTGGCATGATCATCAATATACCGTTGTAAAATAGAAATAGAATATACAGAAGTTGGCTTTAGCACATCTAGAAGACACAAATTGTATAAGAGAGTAGCTCAGACTTCCATCGTATCTTTTCCTACAGCCTTGCTACCTCTCCTTTAAGGTATATTATGGCCCCTTGGGTTGTTCGCTATTATTATCTGTTAGTTTGCAAAGTTAGGTGAAGGGCAGGCTTGGTTTAGGAATGGTTATGTATGTTGTATGAGCACTAGCTGGAAGTGGATGGCTGCTACAGAAAACCTCACCCTGGAGTGGCCATGAAAGACATTGGTAAACTATATTAGATGGCATATCATGTTTTTCAACTTTATATGAAGTGAGAAATTGCCTAAATCCAGAAATATATGGACAATGGCTAATGGGTTGGTCAGCTGTCAAGAGCTGGAAAGAACAGAACTGAACATTTGTGGTAAGGAGATGTGAGACAGAAGTATATGGATGCACATAGAGAGTGAAGACACTTATGTCCTTCACAGATGTCCATCGGAGGGACAATCATTTCGGAAGAGAATCTTAATCATGAACTAGATGGCCTATCCTGTGGATGACAGGCAAACTCTTTGCCCAGCCACAGTTGTTCTCTTTGTAAGTCCACATGCAAAACGACTTTGGTGGCAGCAGGGATGGAAGTTATGTCTGAGGTCAACAGCAGATTCTTCTCTTGTTAAGACTAAACTACCTAGGGCAATTGCTGGTTTGCCAATTTGCCAGCAGTAGTGATCGACAATTTTCTGATGGAAAACAATTAATGACGTGATCACATTGGAGAGGATCATCAGATAGGGGGATTGCTTTGTTCTCACAGAGTAGACACGTATTCTAGATGTGGATTTGCCTTTCCTATACTCAGTACTTCATCTGGTACTACTACTAATGGATTAATGGACTTTCAGAATTCATTACCATGGAATCCCTTGCAATGTTGCTTCCTACCAAGAAACACATTTTAGGGAAAAGAGACTATAGTAATGGATTCATGCCCCTGAAAATCACTCATCGAGCTATGTACTCCATCACTCTAAAGTAATGCGCTTGATAGAATGGTGGAAGAGCCTGCTGGTGGCTCAGTGTTGATACTAGCTTAGAGAGAACACTCTAAAGGGATGGGACACTATCATAAAGAATTAAAGATATGCTTTCAATAATTGTGTCAATAAATGATGCAGCCTTCCCTAATGAGAATGTAAACAGTTTTGGAATGAAGGGAAAGTGACCCTACTCACTGTTACATTCAAGAGTGTACTTAAATAATTTTTGCCTCATGACCCTAGAATCTTGGTTATGGTTGATTTGGTGATCAAGGAAGGAATGTTTCCATGAGAAAAATGGCTATGTTCTAGATTAATTGAAAGCTATCTGTCCCGTATCCATATCGGGCTCCTTTTGATGCTCAATGAACAACTGAAATAAGTGTCTCTCTATTGCCTAGGTAAATGATACTGACTATGCGGAGAAAGATGGTCTATATAATAGAAGAGATGAGGACTATATTTGGAACCTGAGAAGTTCACTATTCAGTAGAGTGCCTCTTAGTATTCCCTTGCCCAGTAATCAGTTAAACAAAACAAAACAAAACAAAACATCTCTAGAAACACATAAAAATACAAACATCAAGAACTTGGATCCTGCAGGAATGAGGGTTTGGACTATACACACCAACTGAAGAATTCTGTCTGACTAAGATGTGTTGACAAAATTAATGAAGATATGGAAGGAGTATTTAGTGAAAGTGGCTGTGATACCATTTTTTAGTATTTAAATTTCATTGTGATAAGAACACTTAACATGAGAGATACCCTCTTAATATTTCAAGTACACAACTTATTATTGTTAACTATAGGTGTAATGCTGTACAGATGATCTATAATTCATCATGCCTAACTGAAACTTTATACCTATTCAATAACAACTCTTCATACTCCCTACCATCCAGCCTCTGCGAACCATCACTCTACTCGTTGCTTCTACAAGTCTGACTATTTTAGACACCTCATATAAGTGAATCATTCAGTGTTTGTCTTTCTGTGACTGGATTCTTGACTTAATATCCTCAACATTCATCTACTTTGTTGTAAATGGCAGGATTTCATTCTTTTTAAAGGCTGAATACTATTCCATTATGTTTATGTACCGCATTTTATCTATTCATATATCAATGGTGGTTTCCACATCTTGGCTATTGTGAATAGTGCTGCAATGAACATGGGAGTGCTAATTACCTCTTTGAATTTCTGATTTTTATTTTTTGGTTATATACCCAGAAGTAGAATTTCTGGATTATATGGCAGTTGTTATTTTTAATTTTTTGAGAAAGCAATATGTTGTTTTGCGTTTGGCTGCACCATTTAGCATTCCCACCAACAGTATACAAAAGTTCCTGTTTGTCTACATTCTCATTAATATTCATCCTTTTAAAAAATATATAATAGCCTATAATAGCCATCTTAACAGTTGTGTGGTGATATTCCCATACTGATATGCATTTCCTTGATTATTAGTGACATTAAACATCTTTTTGGCCGGGCGCGGTGGCTCACGCCTGTAATCCCAGCACTTTGGGAAGCCGAGGCGGGTGGATCATGAGGTCAGGAGATCGAGACCATCCTGGCTAACAAGGTGAAACCCCGTCTCTACTAAAAATACAAAAAATTAGCCGGGCGCGGTGGCGGGCGCCTGTAGTCCCAGCTACTCGGGAGGCTGAGGCAGGAGAATGGCGTGAACCCGGGAAGCGGAGCTTGCAGTGAGCCGAGATTGCGCCACTGCAGTCCACAGTCCGGCCTGGGCGACAGAGCGAGACTCCGTCTCAAAAAAAAAAAAAAAAAAAAAAAACATCTTTTTGTATACCTGTTGGCCATTTGTATGTCTTCTTTGGAGAAATGTTTATTCAAGTCCATAGCCTATTTTTTAATTGAGTTATTCCTTTTTTGAATATTGAGTTGTAGATTTTGTTTTCATATTTTGGAAATTAACCCTTTATCAAATATATAGTTTGCAGTATTTTCTGTCATTCTGTAAGTTGCTTTTTTTACTCTACTGAGTGTTTCCTTTGCTATAAAGAAGCTATTTAGTTTGATGTACTCCCACTAGTCTATTTTTGCTCTTGTTGCCTGTGCTTTTGGTGTCATATTCATGAAATAATTGCTAAGACCAATGTCATGGAGTTTTCCCCCTAGGTTTTCTTCTAGGAGTTTTACAATTTTGGGTCTTACATTTAAATTTTTATTGCATTTTGAGTTGATTTTTCTGTATAGTGTAAGATAAGGGTCCAATTTAATTCTTTTGCATGTGGATATCCAGTTTTCCCAATGCTGTCAAAGAGACTGCTCTTTTCCCACTGTATATTTTTAGTATATTTGTTGATCAGTTGACTGTATATTGGTGTATTTATTTCTGGGATCTCAATTATGTTCCATTGATTTATGTGTCTGCCTTTATGCTAGGACTATGCTGTTTGAATTATTGTAGCTTGTAATATGTTCCGAAGTCAGGTAGTGTGAGCCTTCCAGCTTTGTTCTTTTTTCTTATGATTGCTTTGGCTACTTAGTGTCTTTGTGTTTCTATAAATGCTTTAGGATTGTTTTTGTTTGTATTATAGATATCATTGGGATATTGATAGGGTTTTCATTGGATTTGTATATTCTTTTGGGTGGTATGGACACTTTAACAATATTAAGTTTTCTAATCCATCAACAAAGACATCTTTCCATTTGTTTGTGTCTTCTTTAATTTCTTTCATCAATGTTTATGGTTTTCAGTCTATAAGTTTTTACCTCATTAGTTTATTCCTAAGTATTTTATTTTTTGAAGTTACTGTAAATGGATTGTTTTTCTAATTTGTTTTCCAGATTGCTCACTGTTAGTATATAAAAACACAACTGATTGTTGTATGTTGATTTGATAATTTGCAGCATTAATGAATTCTTTTATTAGTTCTTACAGGTGTTTTTTTTGATGTTGTTGTTGACTCCTTTGTGTTCTGTACAAAGAAGACAGTGTCATCTGCAAAGAGAGATAATTTTACTTTTTTCTTTCCTGTGTGGATGCCTTTTATTTTTGCTTAATTACAATGATTAGGACTTCCAGTACTATGTTAAGTAGAGGTTTTGAGAGTAGACATCCTTGCCTTGTATCTTACTTTAGTGTAAAAGCTTCCAGTTTTGTAACCGTTGGGTACGATGTTAGACATGGACTTTTTATATATGGATTTTATTATGTTAAAGTAATTTCTCTCTATTCCTAGTCTGTTGAGAGTTATGATCACAAAAGCATTTTTATAAAATTTTGTCAAATTCTTTTCTGCATCTGTTGAAATGATCATGTAATTTTTATCCTTCATTCTGTTAATATGGTGTATCATATTAATTGATTTTCAATAATTGAACATTTCTTGCATCTCAGGCATAAATAACACTCGGTTCCTTTTAAATTTTCTGTCTCTTTGTTGAAATTCTCTTGTTGATCATGTATTGTTCTCCGGAGTTTATTAGGCATTTTAAAAATGGCTGTATTTAATGCTCTGTAAGGTAATTCATATATCTCCATTTCATTAGGGCTAATTTTCTAGAGTTTTACTTGGTTCTTTCGTTTGTATCACTTTTGCCTGTGTCTTCATTTTCCTTGACACTTTATGTTGGTATTTATGCATTAGAAAAAATTGTCATGTCTTGCAATCTTCACTGATTGGCCTTGAATGGGAGAAAATCTCCACCAATCAGCCTGGCCAGAGATTCTGTGGACATTTTAATCCTTCTTGTTAGTCCAAACTGCTGTCACTGTTCTTGGCAGCCCCAAGGCATCTAGAATCTCCTGGGTCCCAGCTGTGCTCTGAGATAGGTGAGACAGAAACCATTCCTTTGGATAGCACCTGGAGAAGCTGGAATGTTGAATTCTCATTTTCGGTACGGGAGGGAGGGAACTCTTTTTCCCCTCAGGTAGAATCTGGGAACTGGGGTTTTCCACCCACTTACTCTATGCTGAGCTGGGAGGATGAGTTGTGTTGAGTGCCTGTGTTGCTAGTTCAGACTGCCATGCTTATTCCAGGAATCTAGCATATGCCAGGTCCTGTGAGGACTTTAAGACAGAAGCCAGTCTCTTGGGTTGCATTCAGAAAAGTTGGAGCATTGTAGGTGAAATCTAACTCTTTCCCATCCTGGGAAAAACTGAAAGCTGAGGATTTCGTCTTGGTCATATGTTGCTGTGCTAGGTGTGGGGAGTATAATGAGAGGGTGTCTGGAATTTTCCTGTTGGTTTCAGTGTCGTTCATTTCATGCTCTCATTGAGTGCAGGAGCCTGTCTACTAGTTTTTGAATGTTTCAAAAAAGAAATTGGTCTGCATATTATTGTTGAATCAGTGTGTCTAAGTCCACCATCTTGCTGATGTAGCTCCCTGGTGATTAACAATTTAAGTCTTGTAATCATCTACAGAGATAGAAAATATGACAGCCATGTTTTATGCTATTTATTTGTTTATTTCCCCTCCTATTCTTTGCTTTTGCATGTTACAAAAAACACAAATGGAAGCCTGCTGAATACTTTGACGAGCAGCCTGTGTAATTTCTGTTTTTACTCCTTAAGTGAAAGTCAAATGTATTTATTAAAAAACAAAACAAAAAAATTTATGGCAGTTAAATTACATAATTTAATTAAAATACTGTGTAAATTGATAACCTGTGAACATAGAATGGTTGAAAAGTATGTCAAATGTTCTGGAAAGGATCAGTAATACAAAGAGGCAAAAATACTTCATTATGTGTGAGGAAGACCTTTGTAAAATAGTTAAGAAAAATCCTCAAAACTGAACAGGATTTAGCATTCTGATCACTTCACACTATTCTTAAGTTCTCACTTTACTTTAAAGAAACCAAAAAGGGAAATGATTCGGTAGATCCATGCTCAAGGTAATGGCCTTGGTCCTACTTTAAGAAAGTGGAAAATGATTATACATTTATCCATATTAAATCAAAGCTGGATTTTAAAGGTGGCATGTGTCTTCTTTTTTTAATTGTTTTGCTTGGATTTTTTTTCTTTAACTAACCTTTTCAAGAAATGGTAACTGTCATGAGAAACACTGTAGTCTGATGAGTCTCAAAATTAACTTCCACATGAGGCCTCTTCCCTGAATTTTAGAATCAGTGTTAAGTGCTAGCACAACAGGTAAGTGGATACAGCCCACTGACCCTGTAAACTCAACATGTCTAAAGCTGAACTCATCACTTTGCCTGCATGTCTGCTCTCCAGTGTTTTCTCCAACCCTTGGTAAAACCAACCTTTTGGGCACTCAGCCTAGTACCCTGGAAGTTGGCTTTGTTTTTCCATCTCCTTTACCTTCATTACATACAAGCCCACTAACAAGTTTTACTAAGTTTTTATCCTAAATATTTCCTAAAACCAAACTTTTCTTCCTGTCTGTACTATTACTTCCTAAATCCTTACTCTCATTACCCTCACCAGGAATACGGCCTTCTAACTGGTCTCCCTACATTCAATATGTTTCCCTTTAAATACATTTTCAAATAACCTCAAAAATGTTCCATTAAAAATGCAGATCTTGAGATCTAATCCTCAAAATGGTTCTCTTATCCTATGGGATAAATACATAGTTTTTGTTATTGTCTTGTGTGTTTCTGCTGCTCCTTTTTTTGACACTTCCCTTTCTAGAAACATCGAATTCCTTGTAATTCGTGGACCTCACACATGCTTTTGCTGAAGTCATTGTATTTCCATGAAGTGTTCTCCACTGTTAATTCCAACCCTCCACCTAGCTAACCCTTACTTGACTCAGTTTAGGTCTCAGTCTTTGAAGACCCTTTTCTGTCCTGAGCTCCAAGATATAATGAGCATTATAGATTTTTTATTGCTGTCATAATATTGCCTTAATAATTTGTCTACCTTTCCCATTTCTTATTTCTTTCATCACATGATCTTCATTATTTACTTACTTAAATTCTGGGAACTTCATAAGAAAGGCATCTGTTGCGTTTACCATTTTATCCACCTATCAAGTACAGTATTTGAAACATAGTGGCCCCTTAATATATTTTTTGAATGAATGAATAAACTGAAACTCTATATTTTCCAATAAATATTTCTGGTATAGAATGGCTGTCTATAGGGATAACATTAATTAAAAATAATATAATCAAAGCCCTTAAACAATCAAAAATGAAAACTATAATTATTTTTCCATTTTGAACTTGATTTTAAATATATTTTTAAAAATCTTACAAAAGCCTAGCTTTAGCTATGCATTGTAGGGTCACAAACTTTATCTTATTGAGTTAATGATTTAAAATTTTGTTACAAAAAGGTATAATAAATACTATATTAATCTGAATAACTATTTTCATATCATTATTCTTTATCTTAATTAAAGAACTAAAACTCCCCAGAGTGAACATCCCTTTTTTATTTATAGCCCTGAGTAATTACAGTCCTCATGTTTCCTTCTTTGTTTCTTTTGCTCTGTATCAGCCAATAGAATCTTACGTTTGAAACATGGGTTTCTTCTGCGAGAACTGCTATCCTTTGCCATCTTCTGCTGAAAGTAGGAGGACACTCATTTTTTACAAATTCTGCATTGCATATTAGTCTTTTAGATGTCCTACATTTTTACAGTCCCAGGAAGGCAGGGAGTGAACTCCACTTTGGTCAAACTACTTCAGTAGGAACTGCAGCACTGACATTTATAACTTAATTTTGATAATAAAGTCAGCTAAAAGTTTGCTCTGCCAGTGATTTAAAAACTGTTAACCAACCACCTAACTAAACTAACAAATGATACGATGGATCACATTTTTTATTTCTTTTATTTTTTATTGTAACTTACAATTCTTGCAGCGGAAGCAATGAAGTTTTACATAATTGCCAAAATTGAACAGCAGAGGGCAGAAAATAGCAAACTCTGTTTCTTGTAGCACACTATTCTAGTCAACTGTAGATCTAGTAGTTTTGAAGTTTTCAAAATTGATTGGTGATCAATTTGAAATACATATTCTTGAAATAGGAAGTTGCTACATGAAAAAATAGAGCCGTGTACATTCACAAAATAAATTCCAGTATTTTTCCATGTATTTGTATAAAGAACCATTTACTGTAGTCAATTTAAATTTATTACCCTTATATTGACAGGATTCTGTGCTTGAAACATACATGCTATTAAAACATTATAAGAAATTTGAAAAAGTCTCATGAGTGATAATATTAATAAAATTATGCTGATATAGGAAATAAGTTTCCAAATATGTGAAAGGTCTATACATAACTACCTTGTGAACATAGATACATAGAATAGCAGTTGAATTACAAGTAATGCTTGCTAAAATTTTTATTTCCACCTTATATATAAATTGTAATTGGCCACTAGACAGTAATATTTTTCTTGAGCTCTTACATATTAGTTACTATACTCTATGATTCAGCAAATTCTTATTTTTACAGCATTTGTTTTTTATAGAATGTAACTCAGTCAATTTTGAGTTCATATCTGCCCTTGACTTTGAAATAGGTTAAGATGAAAATAGTTTGAAAACATTCTTATTTTTTAAAATTCAATTCACCTGAACTCACATTTTAAACATCAAATTTTTTTCATATTGAAGCTTCCTCTCTCTCTGTCCTCGCTCTCTTTAATTCTAAGTTACTTTCTATGAAATTAAAGTTTTCCTGTGGAAACAAGTGAATCGAGAAAAAAATAACTACAGAGGTATTTTAAATTTTGCTCTGTTCTTAGTGCTTTTACATTAAAAATTTTAAATAGGTAATAATTTCCAATCATTTTGTATACCTTACATCACAAATAATGATTAAATATGTATGATTTATTTATTCTTTATGTTGCAATTTTGAATATATGTAAGTTATATCTCATTTTTTATTTTTTATCGATTTATTGTAATTTTAATTAATTTTATATATTATTTTTATTATTCAATTTTTTAAAGGTTAAATACATTTTTATTTAGAAGACCTGCTTTATATACAGTGTGGAGTACTTATAACATACTAATAAAATTCTAAGGCATAAAATTAAGAGATATTTTAGTCTATAGTTTATAAGCTTAATAATAGATTACAGCTATTCTCACTTCATGGTTTAGGACTACATCAAAAAGAGGGAAAGGTTATAATTTGAAATGACAGCAATATAGGATCCAAGAGCCATAGAAGCCACTTTGCTCATCATCATTTTTAAAATGGGGAAATTGAGGCCAATGTGATTAAGAAGCAAGCATAAGATAATCCAGTCAGCAATGAAGCTGCAAGCACAAGAAGGCAGCCTGATAGACTCATGGCATTTTGGAATACTAGCAGTTCTCTTTTTAGTACTGTAAGCTCCAATCTCCCTCTTCCTGGAAACAGTTCCTTGTTCTCAATCTTTCTTTATTTGTTTAAACCAGTAAAGACATGCAACTTGGTGGGGCTTTTCTGAGTCCGCAGAGGGAATTGTCAGAGCAGGTTTCCAGGAATGAGCTTGGAAAAAGCACCATGAAGAACATAAATTTCACACGGGAAGTCCAGTCATCCATCTCGCCATCAATTCTCTCCCTTCAAACTTTTAATATCTAACCTCATCTTTCTTTCCCTGTGGCCCGCGTGTTCAGTAGAGCGTGGTGGCTTACTTTCTTTAGGCAGTGATTTTTCGAAACCCCCGGCCAAAACGCGATGGGGAAACAGATTTCTAAGTAAGTCTCTGGGAAAGAATCTGCATCTCTGTGGCATTCCTACACTAGCTTCATCTTCTAATCACTTTCCTCTAATAGCCTTTCCTTAAACCAGAGTCTCTTGCTTTCAATCTGCATAAAGCAAGGGCTTCTAGGAAACCAAGTCTACATGACTCTACAAGGGAGGGATTGCAGTGAAAGCTGCGAGAAAGACCCGTGCGCTCTGTAACTAGGCGAGTCAGCATCACAGCCCAATGGAATATACTCTAAAGATGGGATTTTCATGCAAAATATTTAAAAGATTCCATCTTGATCTCTTGTGCGGCTTAAGCATTTAAAGATATAACTTGGGGTTCTCCCTGGATCCTGGCTACATCCCATGAAGCCCAAGTGCACAATTTTGGAATATTTCCTCCACGGTGCTTTGCTTGCTTGTTTGCTTTCGGCTGGGTCAGGTGAGGAGGATGACAGGGCTTCTGTATTGCTAAATGGGTTTTCACAGGAGATGGAAGATAAAAATCAAAATTATTTGTAACGTAAGACAGCAGGGCCTGGTGAGAGGACGCTTCGCCGCCAACAATTAGCAATTCGGCTTCTACACAGCAGCCGGAGATCAGCTTTGCTGCATTTGGTCCAGGTTGGAGCATCTCCGCAGCAGCTGCAACAGCCGCACGAAGGTAGCTCCGGGCGGGGAGCGAGGCGCTGTCCTCGGTGCTGAAAGGCCGAGGCGCGCGGTGGGCGCGACAGCCCCGGAGACCCGAGGTCTCGCGGAGGGACAGCGGCTACGGGCCCCGAGCTGTGCTTTCTCAGCGCCGCGCACGCGACGCGTCCACGGTGGTGCGGGGTGCCGGGCGCCGTGCGGGGGAGGGGGCGCGCGCTCCCGCCTCCTGCCGCGAGTCGCGCACGCGCGCCCGGGACTGCCTGCCCCTCTCTGTGACTTGCCTGTGTGTGTGCGTGTGTGTATGTGTGTGTGTGTGTGTGTGTGCGCGCGCGCGTGAGTGAGAGAGGAGAGAGGGAGAAGAGAGCGCGAGAGAGGGTGAGTGTGTGTGAGTGCATGGGAGGGTGCTGAATATTCCGAGACACTGGGACCACAGCGGCAGCTCCGCTGAAAACTGCATTCAGCCAGTCCTCCGGACTTCTGGAGCGGGGACAGGGCGCAGGGCATCAGCAGCCACCAGCAGGACCTGGGAAATAGGGATTCTTCTGCCTCCACTTCAGGTTTTAGCAGCTTGGTGCTAAATTGCTGTCTCAAAATGCAGAGGATCTAATTTGCAGAGGAAAACAGCCAAAGAAGGAAGAGGAGGAAAAGGAAAAAAAAAGGGGTATATTGTGGATGCTCTACTTTTCTTGGAAATGCAAAAGATTATGCATATTTCTGTCCTCCTTTCTCCTGTTTTATGGGGACTGATTTTTGGTGTCTCTTCTAACAGCATACAGATAGGTAGGTACCCTTTGTGCTATGCTTTTGAATTGTGCATAATTTGGTGGTAATCTTTGTTCACAGTGTACAAATTAATTCATGTCATGTAGACTTATGTCATACCTTGACTGCATTCCAGATTTAAACTACCTAGAATATACATGTTTTTCTTAGGATGAAGCAAAAGGAAAAGACTATGCCTTTGATACAATAGAAGAAAAGGTCCTCTCATTTCGGATCCCCAAATTTTATTAATTCTGCCTTAGCGACATTTTCCAGTTTGCTCAGATTTTCTTGGGGTCTGAATGCAAAGCTTGTGATTACATGGAAAGGTGAAGGTTTCTGGCCGCCTACCTCGCCTTCAGACTCTCATCTGGGTCTTGACCCCTTGGCTAGCTTTTGGATATTCCACCCCCGCTGTCCGAGTCCGTAGGTGTGTTTATTCGGCCTATTCGCGTGAATAAGAGACTCTTGGATTTTTGGGCGCTAGCGCGCGCCCCTCCTTTCCCTCCCGGGGCACTGACACTGTTCTCTTGCTTGCTGTTTGTTCTTTGCAGGGGGGCTATTTCCTAGGGGCGCCGATCAAGAATACAGTGCATTTCGAGTAGGGATGGTTCAGTTTTCCACTTCGGAGTTCAGACTGACACCCCACATCGACAATTTGGAGGTGGCAAACAGCTTCGCAGTCACTAATGCTTGTAAGTAATGAATATTCATGCCTTTCGGGTGCTGCACGCGGAAGGCCAGCGAGTGTGAGTGTGTGTGTGCGTTTCTGGGGTGGTGTGTGTGCGTTTCTGTGTGTCAGTGTGTGGGTGTGAGTGACTGCACACACGCGTGCGTGTGACCGTGTAGAGAGAAGGTGGCTGTAATCTCAGGGACCCCCGCTGGCTGGAGAGGGCTGAAGAGAGAGGGAAAGGACGTCAAGAGTGTGCGCATTAGGGAGCCGGGGTGAGGGTTGGAGCCAGGGAGGGCGGCTTTCTTGGGTTCAAGGGGTTTTCGCTCATCTTGAGTGCTTCAGGAGAAGCCCTCCCACCTCGCTCCCCATCGAGCGCCTGTTGGCACCCTGCCCACAGAGAACACGTTGTTCCCCAGGGCGCGCAGTCGGGCTGTTGGACAAATCCCACGAGGGACTGCCGGAGCCCAGTGGCCTCCTGCCCCAGCAGCTGCCGCTCTCGCCCGCTGCCCCCAGTTTAGATCCGCAGCACCGGCTGGGCTCACCCTGCGGCCCTCGCGAGCTCCATGTTCTCCTCTTTGGGACAAGTTGTTGAAATGGTTCCGGAGTTGGGATCGGGGCTGTTACATAACGCCCACCCGAGGGGCGAGGAGCGGGGCTGACGCAGGCTCAGGCCGGCCGGGTGGCGTGGGGGTGGGGCGGGGAGGCGGTGGAAAGGGGGAGCGCTGTCAATTTCTCCTGCTCAGTTGCGCTTCCGCTTAAGTTGGAGGGGGCGAGGCCGCCAGGGGCGCCGCGGTCAGCTTGCCAGCCCGGCGCGCTTTGTTCTCAGGTAGCTGGGCTCCAGCAGAGGCAGCCGGGGAAAAGGACTGGGAAGCCGTGGGATCTGGCCGAGTTTGAAAATCTGGAGAAGTCGCTGATCAGCCATTTTAGTCTTTGCAATGCTCCATATTAACCCTCTCACTCCGCGCAGTGCTCCGGGACTCGCTGGGAAGCTCTGTGATGGGTTCAGATAAAGTACTAGAAACCAAACAATTAGGGATCTAAAAGGATTGGTGTGGAGGCCAGAGGGCTCCGGTCCCCGCGCTCGCTCCCCCGCGCAGGCGTGGGCAGGCAGTCGCGGCCACTGTGCCTTCCTGCCCTCTTCCCAGCAGCTGCCATCATTTCCTGCCGACTGCCCTGCGGTGATTCTTTCCTGCCCTAATATTCGCAGTCGTTATTTCATAGATAACAATTTGGGGGAGATCTGCGGATGGCTCACTTCCCACTTTGGCTACAGAGCTTGGGGAAAATTACCACAGGAAAAGCCCAACTGCAGTTTTCCCACGTCACACAAACAACTGGTTGCCATCCCTCCTCCCCATTTTAAGCTTTAGTCATATATTCCGTGATTTAGCTTGATTATCATATTGGGCCCATCATCAACTCTTGCAACTACTGTCACCCGGACGAATGAAGAAACAATTTTCTTAGACTGATAGAATAGGGGCATTGTGTGGTAATTTAGGATTTAATTGTTTATAATGGATCTATTTAAGAAGGTTTCACTGCTATATATTTTCTTCAAATGTTGGTGCCAAGTAAGAAAAGAAAGAAGGGCGGGTGTGGGGGTACAGAACGAAAGAGAGAAGAGGAGAATTAAAGTGGATTTGCAGCTTTGAAAAACGTCCGTAATAGAATATCTCAGAAAATTTTAGTACATGACATACAAAGAAATCAACTTAATTAAAATTTGAAGACTTCTATATTTGACCTATTTACCTAACAGATTTAGACTATTCATTTGATATCAGTAAGTTCCAATTTTTCCTGAATTACAAGTTTGTCATGCAACTGTTCTGAGTATCTAACTGTGTGTAATTGTATACTTATGTGAAAATGCTTTGAAAAGTAATGACTCCTAAGGAACGGCTGTGGGTATAGGAAGGACATAGGTTTTGAATGTGAAGTGAAAGTATTGACAGCTGTACTTTTTGAAAACAGTCAATGATTGCCAAGTTCACTCATTGGTGAAAATAATGAGAAGAACTTTCTGCAAAAATAACATATGTCCATTGACAAAATGAATATTCCTTGATTTCAACAAATGCTAAACTACTGTATTGGGGCTTTATAAAGATAAAAGACTGTGATTAGGTTATTAGGTTTAGATACTCATTCTCAATATTTTTGAATTTTTAAATAGAAATTTTTCTGAAATAAAATATATAGCCAGAATATGTGTATATATTAAACACATATGTAAATTCATATATTTGCAGGGTGAACACATTCATGTAATCAACATGTGGACTTCTTTTAAAAAATTACCACACAATTTAATTTGTCCATAGTTCTGAGAAGCTGGAATAATCAAGTCTTCATTTGCACAGTTTTTTCCCCTCCTCAGGAAGTGAAGCTAAAATAAATATGTTCACATTTCCAGAGACTAAAATTACCCCTGCATGGATTATTATAGTAGGATAGTAAAACAAATTATTTTCAGGAACTGAACACATTTTAAAGATGACAACATGATAATTCAAAAGCATGACATTTGCAACTCCCATGTTATAAGTAATCTTACTGTTTGCTAAAAAGAACTAGGGGGGTACTGTGACAGAAGAGAGGCTCATTGGATAGAAATTTCTGGGGCTGACATTAACTCATTGACTGGGCAAATCGCTTAACATGTTTGTGACTCCGTTTTTTTATTCTCTGAGACATTTCAAAATTTAGAGATTGCAAAATGAAATAGAGAATTTGTATCCTTTTTTGTTTGTTTGTTTTTGTGCTATGGACAATAGAAGATGTAAAATTAGTTTAACTCTTTTGAGACAGAATGAGAGAGAGGGAAAGGGAAAGATGCTTATGTAAACTACAATCACAAAGTCAAGAAATGGATGAAAATCTCTAGTGTTAAATTTGTCAGCATGGGTCTTGATCGTTTAAATCCTGCTTAAGATTTTTCTCCAATGCCTATCCTTTGTTTTCTTGCCTTTTTATTCAGGGAAGTCTGTGATTCTTTCCTTTATAAAGTGGAAGCAACAGCATTAAATACATTGACAGCTAAGATCTAAACATCTTTTTTCCCATTTCCTCTAGAAATCTCAGGAATTTTGCTATCTAATGACATTATTAGATGATAGGTATCATCTTGCAATGCTCTTGAAATAGCTTGCTCTTCCAATCATAAAAATCCCACAGAGCTAAATTTACGTATTAAAAAGTGGATTTTTATACCTTAGTAATACAACTTCAAAAGGGAAAATTTATTAGTTTACTAATTTAATTTTATTCCTGAGATGGAGGAAATTATTTGGAAATGTTGAAGTGGACGTTGATATGAGGATCCAGGGAGATCCACTGAATGGGTTAAGGTTATACAAAGAAAATGAAGTCATTCTATTCTGAACTGGGTAAAATGATTGTGTGCATCTTACTGAGCTCCCACATCCTTCCCTTTCACAATCACAGTGGGATAATGAAAGTACCTATTTTGTTCCATTTGTTTCCATGGGTACCTGAGGCAGTAAGACAGATTTTCAGTTTCTTTCATTTTTTCTCCATCATTCCCTTTTTCTTTTCCTCTCTCCCCTCACTCATTTTTTCCTTTCCTCCCTCCCTGTCTTCTTAGCTGAAAAGAGAACTAAGATTTTTTTTCCTGAAGGTTGTTCAAACGTAAGCCTTCATTATTAAAAATACAAAGCATAAAAGCAGAAAAAAATCTGAGATTAGTATCTGATGTGTAGAACAGTTGAAACCAGGGATGGGTCCTAGGAATCCAATCATTCATTCAATAAATGTTTAGTGAGTGCCTTCAAGGTGTCAGAGAATAAATGACTGCTTTTTTTCATGTTAACTTTTTTTTTTTTTTCTAGCCTTTTCCCTCTAGGCTCTTTTGAATAGTTTTCAAAACCTTGTAGGCCTTCATGCCTTTAGTGTGCATTGGTAGCTGTGGTCTTGTCTAGGAACTTTAGTATGAGGATATGAGGGTATTCCAGTAGTTCTTAAACACAAGCGGTTTAATACAGCAACTAAAAAAATCTGCCTTTTTGTGAAAATAGTAACTTTCATATTAATATATATATACACCACGTATTGTATGTAGTTAACTGAGAAAATCAATAGCAAATTTTAGGAAAATACTAAGTATTTTTACATTATAAAAGATTTTAGTAAACTTTGATGCTATGCTAATTGGTAAAGCTTGCTTAAAATAAAACTGTGTAAAAGGGCTATAAACATGAGTACTTGATTCTACAGGGTTTGAAAATTAAAAGTATTAAATATTGAATTTACTCCCCAGAACCTTCCCTTTCTATTTCTTTTGAAGACTGAATTTTACAAATAGTTATTAGTCTAGTTAAAGATGATTTAATAGTTTTATATTTCAATTCCATACAACAAAATAAATTATAAAAATATTAAATTGAAGGAAACAGCAAATAAAAATCTACTTTTTCTCCAAGCCAGCAGATGGAGATGTTGGAGAAAATATTGTTGTTTCATAAAACTGTTGCGCACACCGAATGCCTTTTAAAACATTGTAAAGAAATTTATTTAGATAAATTGAAAAAAATAAATGACATCTAATTTGAAGAAAATTATTCAAAATGCTGTCTTAAAAATAACTTTCATTGCCTTTTAAAAATAGGTTGCCCTATATTTTATGTTTTAGAAGATAAAGACTGTTAGAATAGATTGTAAATGCTCTTAGAGGAGAGAGAATTCTAAAATTATATTTTTTCAACATTTTTAATCTCGATTCCCCAGCTATCATTTTTGAGCTGTATTTATTATTAAATTTTAGTCACAAATTACTGAGATTTTTGTATCTGTGTTCATAAAATTAATTGATGTTTGCTAAGACTTTATTGCACTTGGATGAATGGACTTCTGTGTGTATGTATTTATAGTTACAATTATAGAGTGTAAATAGTTACAGATTGGCTACGCGATCCTGTTTTGTCATGTTTGTTGAGGTATTTACTAACACCTAGAGTTACTGACTTTAATATATGCAAAACTTTCATAAAACTAGACTCAAGTTGGACTTTCTTAAGCAATGATGACAAACCATGAACACATGTGCCAGGGACACAATACCGTAAAAGCTGGTGTTGTAAATATTCAGTTATATTCAATTGCAGATTTTGAGGAAATGCCTCTTTGTATGTCAGAATAATTAATCTGTTATTGAAGTATTTTCAGTTAAAATTTCATACTTCACTTATCACTGAAGAATTTCAAGAAAATGAGTGCGTATTAAGTAGAAATCAAAGAATGGCATTGGTTGAAATATTCTATTTTGAGATGAGAGAAACTAAGTATTGAAATAAAAATTACCTTATGAAACTATAGAGGCTTAAATTAGTAAAAATTTATTCTTATGCTATGCTATTTCTGTTTGAAAGTCTTGCAAACTTCAACCTGCTGGCTCAAGAAGGATGGGGTATTTTCATTTCACATCAAGCCTTTAAAGTGCTAGGGACATTGTACTGAGACATTATGACAAGTGGATGCTGATTCATGCCCAGATCTCAAGTTTTCTCATAATCTCTTCCAATAACACTTAGCAAACTTTCAAACTTCTTAGAACCTTGAAAATTTTAAGGAAGGGTGAAAAAGAGCAGTTGTTTTTGAGTTATTTCAGTATGTTGCTATATAATCAAGTTTTCAGAGAGTATGTGTTTTTTCTCTCTTCCTCCTCTTCCCTTTTTATAAAAAAGTCAATAGAAGTACTTAATCTGCAGAGCAAATGCTATTACAAGAAATAAAGTCTAAATTGAGATAGAGAACTGTCCTTTAAACATTTTCTTATGTGAGCAGAGAGTGCATTCATTCAGAGCTAAAATCTTGTATTTGATGTAAATATTTGATTGAAATGTTAATGGCAGCTGGGTAGATTATATTTCCTTTCTTTTTACAGTAGATTGTACTGAAGATACCCCAGATTTCATTAAGTGTTTGCTCTTTTATTATTATAGCAATTTTAAATAAAAATTTCTCAGGTTTTCTCCAAAGATCTACATAATTGCCAAATCTCTTGTATGACTGTGTCTCTTCAGTACAATAGGAAAATAAGTTGCTGAATTCAATGTTAAAATTAGAAAATCACACATGATTTGAAAATGTTCAAACATCAAAATGTCTATCAAATCAGATTTTACTAGTTTGGAAAAAAAAAGGAATGTGATTCTTACAATGCTGTTCATAAGATGTCTAACACCTATTATTTTTCAGTGCTATTCAATTTAAAAGTTTTTTGTCATCTTTGATAATTTTAACTTATAGAATGAAAACATTTTAAAATTAACGAGGAGAATGTAAAATGTGGGCTTGTTGAAGACAGGCCCTTGCTGCTGTTAACTGTGTGTTCTTCACGAAGTCTAGCTCAGTTCCCAGTGCACCGACTCACTTAATAGTTATTTACCTATTCAACACATTTAATTTTACAGTAGATGTTCTTATCATAACATTATAATTTTTAAAGTTAGAATTTTGTATTTGCTATACATATGGATTTCAGAATACACAATTTACTTTGTACCTTCCTTGAATCCTATTTAGACAGAGGTGTATTATATTTTTCACTTTCATCTACAACCTAGATATTGTCAAAGTTGTTATTTTTATCTCTAAAGCTATATTGATGTATGTTAAAATGATATGCTGAATATATGTACAATATACATGTTGAAGAGGATTTATAAATGCTAACTGTTAGGATGATGCAAAAACCATGTTGCAGCCAGGCTCAGTGGCTCATGCCTGTAATCCCAGCACTTTGGGTGGCCGAGGCGGGTGGATCACCTGAGGTCAGGAGTTCAAGACCAGGCTGGCCAACATGGCGAAATCTTGTCTCTACTAAAAGTACAAGAAGTAGCCAGGCGTGGTGGCACCCATCTGTAGTCCCAGCTACTCAGGAGGCTGAGGCAGTAGGATCGGTTGAACCCATGAGAGAGATGTTGCAGTGAGCCGAGATAGCACCACTGCACTCCAGCCTTGGAGATGGCAAGATTCCATCTCAAAAAAAAAAAAAAAAAAAAGAAGGAAAAAAGAATGACCCCCCCACCTCCCCCCACCAAAAAAAAACCCAAAAGCAAGAACCTTGTTACAAGTGGGTAGAACAGGAGATGCCCTTATAAGGCCCCTGACCGTTATGGGTCTGCCAAGCTTCAATTTTGGTTTTAGATGTTCCAAAAATGTGTCCTTGAATGGACACAGAATTGTTTTAGTAACTCCCTCCCTGCCCCCAACCAGGATATTTTATACTACAATTTTCTATATCAATTCCTTTAATTAATTTTAAAAATGTACAGAATCACAAAAGTATTATTTTTACATTTTAGATGGTATCTAGGAAGAGAAGTTTCTGGACATAGTTTCTCTTTGTGGACCAATTGCTCTATTTGCATTAATTTGTGCAATTATTTTGTATGCGTATCCTTATTTTTTCTTTTTAGGGCCTGCAGTTTATGTTTCGGGTTTGTTTTCTAACGATTTTGTTTTGTCTTATTTTCATTCTGTGGATAATTTTCTTGGGTGAAACACCTTGTTATTATATGTTTAATTTTTCACACATTATCATATTACTGGGAAAATCATCCAAAGTGCTTGATACTACTCCAGCCTGGGTGACAGGGCAAAAACTTGCCTCAAAAAAGCACAACAGAGTCTTGAAATTTATTGGTATCTTCAGCTGAATAGAACAAATAAATTTAGGAGATACCAGGTTCCTTATAGAAAGGGAATTGGTGAGTAGCTATCTTCTTAGATTGCTTACGTTTTTGTATCCATGTTTCTCAAACAAATGACATATGTAATGTTTATAGTTTTACTATTTGGATTTTTCTTCAGAATTTTACTTCATAATTTTATATATTTATGGTTATGTTAATACTTACATTTTTTCCTGATTGTTTCAGTATTTCAAATATAAACACAAACTGGGTTGAATTGTGAAATGGCCTAAATTTTAGTTCTTCTAAAATACTTTCAATAGGGTATTTTATTTCTATGAAGTTTATTTTCCCTTCATGTAAAATTGATTTCACATGATAAATGCTATGATGTTTACTTGTTATAGTCCTCTAATACTTTCACGCTGATGAATTTCAGTGAACCTGAGAAGGTACTCCTGCAATGTAAATATTTTTAGTCTAATCTTCCTAAGTACCCAACTTACTGATAGAAATGACTGAAATGTGTTTATATAAACTAAGTATATTCTATGCTTGTTAAAGCATAGTAGAATATTACCTGATTCTTTATCCCTACAAGAATAGAATATGACCTAAATTAATAATGTCTAACTTCAGCATAAATTTAATGGAAACTCAAGTTAAATAACTTGATATAAGAAAAGTTTCCTCAGCTCATAAACCCTTTGCAGCTAAAATTCTCTGTATCAAAATACCGTTCTGTTTCAGATTTAGCATTCATTTTACAATTTCTCTAGCATCAGTATTCAAGATATTGCAGTAAGAATATGTCAACAATTTTTTTATATATATTATTTATTGTGCATGAATAAAAGGATAGAGTGGGCATGTTCAAACAAATAGTTTCAAGGTAAGGGAAAATATTTTTTTCCTTATTGTAGATTGAAATTACTATATTTCTTAAAAGTGATGGCGGGAAAGCTGTGGAGAAAAAGGGAAAAACTCTAAGAGGCAGCATAACTTGGTGTACTTGGCAGGGCTGTAAGAATTTGCAACTCGAAATTAATTCATTCCTTCCTTCCTTCCTTCTTTCCTTCCTTTCTTCCTTCCTTCTTTCCTTCCTTCCTTCCTTCTTTCCTTCCTTCCTTCCTTCTTTCCTTCCTTCCTTCCTTCTTCCTTCCCTCCATCCATCCCTTTCTGCTTCCTTTCTTCCTTTTTTTTGTTTAAGCATCTCTTTCATTTGATGTTTGCTTAGTTTGCATGTCTGTGGTCAATCTTCTATATTAACCTTGAGCTACTATAGAACAGTGAATTCTTATAATAATTTTAATTTTGTCAAATAATGGAAGCTAGTTATTATTTCTAGAGGGAGACATGAAAGAAAGGAGGCACTATGCATTTGGTTTTGATTTTTTTTCCTTTTATTTTATTTTATTTTATTTCTTAGCGAAAGGGTCTCGCTCTGTTCCCCAGGCTGGAGTGCAGTAGAGCTATCACAGCTCGCTTCAGTCTTGAGCTCTTGGGCTCAAGCAATTCTCCTGCCTCAGCCTCCCAAGTAGCTGGGACTACAGGTCCATGCCATCACGCTGAGCTAATTTTATTTTATTTTTTATTTTTATTTTTCATTTTTCTGAGATGGAGTCTCGCTCTGTCACCCAGGATAGAGTGTGGTGTTGCAGTCTCGGCCCACTGCAACCTCCGCCTCTGGGTTCAAGCAGTTTTCCTGCGTCAGCCTCCCCAGTAGCTGGGACTACAGGTGCACACCGCCACGCCTGGCTAATTTTTTGTATTTTAGTAGAGATGGGGTTTCACCGTGTTGCCTAGGCCGGTCACGAACTCCTGATCTCAGGCAATCCGCCCACCTCGGCCTCCCAAAGTGCTGGGATTACAGACGTGAGCCACCATGCCTGGTCGCAATTTTATTTTTTATTTTTGCAGACGGGTTATCACCATGTTGATCAGGCTGCTCTTGAACTCCTGGCCTTAAGCGATCCTGTCACCTTGGCCTCCCAAAGCACTGAGATTACAGGCATGAGCAACCATCCTCGGCTAACAATATGCATTTCTCTGAGGAAAAAACACAAATTTAAGGTGCTTTATTATTCTGGGCTGGCAAAAAAGCCATCCTTGAAAATTATGAGGTAAAATACTGACTGAAAAGGTTTGAAAAATTTTATAGGTAAAAATATACAATATGGAATGTACGACTAGACTGCATTTTATAGGGAGCATGGAATGTGTCATAGTAAAGTTGTCTGTTGCTTGAGGTAACTGAAATGTAGCAATTCTTGATAATTGCTGACGGGGCTCATCTTAGTAGAACAGAGAAAAGTTTGTCTCTTGTTTTATATTATACTGGTATTATATTTCTATTTCCTTAACACCTAAGTTGAAGATATTTTTTAAAAAAATTAAAATATTTTTAGTGTTTTAAAAATAAAAACATTTTGGATTTAAATTATTTTTCACAATTCTACATGTGTTTAAAAAGTATTAGTATGTCTTGGAAGAATATTTAATAATAATTCTCAAATGATATGTAATATTTTGTCATTGAGGCTAACTATTCAAAAGTTATTCAAAGGACAATTTAAGACTAAAATACGGAACACAGTGAGTAGTTTTATTCTGAAAAATAAGGACCATAACATATGCAATAATTAGTTTGGTCTATATATTTGAAAATATTGTCATACACACTTTAGTGATGCTAACTTGGAAAATTGAAAACATATTCCTTTAGGGCTTTATGTTAGCTATTATGAATTCCATATATTTAAGGGGCTGCCTGTGTTCACTGATCCAGGTAGCACAGAAATAGCTCCCACATTTCTACAGCATGGGAGTGAAGCATCTCTCATCATTGCAAGTCTGGCAGAGAAAGATCTGGAAGTGGAGCTCTCTATAAGGGTGTGTGTGCTTTGCTAGGTTTTCTTGAGAAGTACATTTCAAATCATGTCATGATTTTCATCTTTATTCGTGTGTTATCTGCTGTTTGTGAGAAATTGAAGAATTTCTATCTTGCTTTTAATCTGTGCATGAAATGGGAGAATTTTGGCTTTATAATTTTCAAGCACTTTCATCATTTATCATTTTACTTTTATATTTTTTACCAGGTTTTTAGTTTTTACTAGTTTATGCTATTATTACTAATTTACATACAGAAAGGAAATTTTGAGAACACAGGCAACAATTCAGAAAGGGATACAAGGAAGCGCTGTATATAGTTTATTCTTTGGAGGGAAGGACCATAAAATCCTCATCTTTATATTTCAGAGCACACACAAGTTCAGGGTTGTCATCTTAATGATGAATACACAAGTTTTTCATCTGCGAAGATTAAAAAAAATTGATTCGTTGTAGTTTGTAGCCTTGGTGTCTTGGGATACAGAATAGCATGGGTTAAGCATCTGCACTTAGAACCAAATTCTAGTCCTTGTACTAGATGTATGACATTGGACAAGTTTCTTAGTCTACATCTCAGTTTCTACCTCTGTAAAAGGGAAACAGACATTATAGGATTGTTTGCAAGATACGCATTAGTCATAAAACACTATGAGCTGTGTTTGGCACAAGTACATAAAATTAGCAATATTTTATTATTATTTCCTGTATTAGAATTTTTGGATTGTTTTGATGAGCACTTGCTATTAGAGGCAGAAGACAAAGAAAAATGCAGTTCTAACTTTCTTGCTGGAATCTTTTCCTACTGTTTGTATACCTGGGCAGGACATAATGCCTTTCGGTGACAAAGAAGAGACTAACAAAATAAATCACATAAGTCACTGAAAGATATATTTGGTGCACTATAGGACGAGAATGATTTTTAAAACCTGAGGTGTTACTCGAGTAGTACTTTGAATTCAATCTTCCCCTTTATTGCATGTCACTTACATCTTAGGATGTTGAACAATTTCAAACTCTCATATTTTTAGCAGATATTTCAAGCACATATTTAAGATATCTCAATATTTAATGGAACTGAGCACATTATGGATTCCTAATGTTTTATTTTATGTAATTAATTAAATTAAATTTATTTAAATGAAAATCAGCCAAGCAACATAGGCTTTGGAATTAGGCAAAAATAGGTTTGAATGTAATTAGTAACTTTGTGATACAGCATGTGTTTTTTTCTCTTTGTAGAATAAGGCTCAGTTTCCTTGTCATATCTGATAATATTATTGGAGGCATTATATGAGAAAATAAATGCTTAGATTAATTTGTCAGAAACGTTCCCAGTATTTATTTCCTCCCTTTATATCAGCCCTTTACTGATATAAAACCTAAACCCCATGCTCAAAGCAATGGAGGAAGGTGCTGCCTTGAGAAAGCTTAGATATTTTATAGCTTTATGTATAATTTTTTTCTTTCTGAAACACTTCCATATCTGGTTGATCCTCACTGTCGCTCTGTAAAGCTCGGTAGCATAAGTGGAATTGTTATTATACCCATTTACAGAAAACAAAACAGAAATTTATGTGATTTGTTCTTAGCTGCTATAAATTTGTGGAGAAGCTTTTGGCTACAAAACAAGTTGGCTACTTCCTAAACCAGAGCCTCTATTGGTCTCAGTTGGCAACATAGCTAGTATATTTGAATAAACAGACATGAATTAAAATTATGGCTTCACTATTTACTAGTTCTATGACTTTGTATTAATCAGCTAAACTTTCTAGTCTTGTTTTCTCCTCTGTAAAATGGGGTTCATTATAATGCCTGCCTCATGATGTAATTATCAGGTTTAAATGATAGTAACTGCTGCATATAATATAGTGATTAATACTGCTAATTTCAGTGATTCCAATTCCCCTGAGTATATATTGGTCAGATATACTTAGCTCCGTGCTTATAGGTGCATGGAAGGGAAGGTAGCTAATAGTTTTCTCTATGTAATTTTCAAAATAATAAACTTCTTTAATATAATACAACCATTCAAGCTGAAAATAGAGGCTAGGATTTTACTTTATTATCATTTTTAGAATACTAGTGAACATGTACATTTTACAAGAATTTTGATGTGTTCTTGATCCACAAACCCTCCCCCCACCAAATTCAATGGATAAATAACAAGAACTAAATCATGCATAATTTAAAAAATGTAGATGATGGTTAACATTTAGTGTGAATATCTGATACTATTCAGTTACCAATTCCACCACTGATACATTTGTGCAATAAAAATGATGGTAGGTGTTTCTCACGAATAGGACCTTATTAAACTTGGAACAGGTTCATTGTGACTTCTTCCGTGAGGATCAGTTTTATGCATCTTGCTGCTGGTTGTCTAGGTCACTATCATCTTTTTCACAAGTTTATTCCCCAGCACAGTATAAGGAGGCTCTTTTGCCTGTTTCTAGTCTGCTGAAAGGTCTGGAAGGTTTGAAACATTTTCAAATAATTACTTGGTCAGAGATTATTTCTCTTAGGGAGCAGAGAGATGTGCAGTTGTGCGGGGTGGTTGGGGGAAGATTTTTACTTACTGACAATGAGTAAAAATAAGGACTTCCTACATATGAACTTTGTGTAGTTCATGAAATATTCACTACCTTATTCTGAATTGACTCTTATTCTTCTTATGTTGCCTTATATTGCAGTAACAGCAGCCATATGAACTCTTCAATGTAGGATCATAAGACCTTTGGTCAAAATTACTCTTTTAAAGCAAATCTGTATATTTACACAACAGTTATATCCATGACTTTGGATTTGGGCTGGAAGTAGAATACACTGGATAAAAGCTATATACTTATCTTTAAAGTGCTTTTATCTACCTTGTTTGTATGCACCAAAAACCTATCACAAGATTTTCTTCTTTCTTTTCTTCCTTTCTTAAACTTTTAGTAGATACCTGCTCTGTACCAATCTGTTATTGTCTGAGGTGACAAAGAACAAGATAAGGCTTCTGTATTGAACATTTTTTATGGGTTCAAAATCTTTTCTTTGTGGCAAAAGTAGAAGTTGTTAATGTAGGTTAGCTAGATGATTTTATGATTACATTAGTCTCGGTAATAGACATTATTTCTAGATCATTTATAAATATTATCCTATACGTTGGGCCTAGATTTTAAATTATCTTAAAAGCAGAAATGGTAATTCAAAAAATTGTAAAGAAAACATAAAAAAGATTCTCAATGGAAGGTGAAAAGCCATCATCTTAAATACTGATTTAGAATATATTGCTGAAAACTTGGGTAGCCAAATGAGTACTACTGCTGTTAACAAACTAATAATGCCAATTGCAGATCTGTTAAAAAGTTTCAATTTTTCGCATCATATTTGGAGATGAAAATTTATATTTTATTTTGCATATGATTTTTTTCTTTCATTGCCACAATCTCTTCAAATCAGTTTAAACTGGCATAGACTACATAAATTGCTGGGTGATGTTTACATAAATTATGGGGATTAACTAATTAATTATAATAAATACTATTTTAGGTTGTTACTGAAGAAGCTAGTTGCAGGTTTTAAATAGTAAGTTTTACAAAATACTTTAAAATGTCAATGCATATACCTATTTTGAATAATCTAAGAGACACTAACACCTTGCTAGTGTCTCTTGTTAAAACAGATTTTATATAATTTAAACCTTGGTTATTATAGGGGTTTGAGAATTTCAGGTAGAAAATCATGATTATCTGAAAAAAGTTGATGCAGCTTTAACATGTAACAAAAATTATCTAATAGAATTAAAATATTTGCTTACAATAGCATTTTGGTACTATGGATGATTTAGAATGTAAAACATGCAGAAAATTTTAATTTAGCTTCTTGTGGTCTTTATATTTTGAAGCTTAAAAATTGTGATGAAAATAATCATGCATATGGTAATTTAAAAAAAACACTACACACGGGGATATAATAAATATTGTCTTCTTTCACCTCATTTCTATGTCTCTGAGATAATCACCATTGATGGTTTCCAGAAATGGTAGCATAATATACACTGTTCTTTATCTTGATTGTTTTCTTCTTAACATAAATCGGAGTTCTGCTTTTATGTGCAGAGATTTTCCTCTTCTTTTTTTCTAGTTATTGCATGGTATTCTGTTGTTATGTGGCCTTTTTGTTGATGATTGTTTTCATTTTTGCTGTTTCTTTTAATAATATGTCCAAGTGGGTTTGTAGAATAGTTTGCTATGAGTGGAATAACTTGTAGTCAAAAAGTGTTTGCATTTAAAACTTTGCTGGATATACAAAAAAGGCATATCAATTTACAACCCTACCTAGAGTGTATGAGTATGTCTGTTTCTGCCTAATATCACAAGGTTAAATTTTTTAAAGCTTTGCTCTTGGTATCTTATTGTTTACATTTACTATGGTAAGACGTTATTTGTATTTCTATGTATGTGTGTGTGCATAAACACACCTGTTCATTCCTTTGCCCGATTTTCTTTTGGGTTGTTGGTCTATTTATGGGTGAGTCTACTTATTATTATTTGATACATACATTAAAGTAGCACACTTGTGATGTGTTTCAGCTGTTTTACCCAGCTTTGTGTCTTTTTAACCTGTTTATCGCTTTTTGGAATGACAATTTCAGTTCATGATTTTTATGAATACACATATTCTTAAATTTTATTTAGTAAAATTTAGAAATTGTTTGCTTAATTTCCTCAGGAATTTTGTGCCTTGCTCAGAAAAACATTTCCCACCGTAGTTTATTTTTTTTAAAAAACTGCCTGTGCTTTAATACCATCATATTTTGGTATTATGTTTCCAGATAAATCATTGAATCATCTGGCTTTATGTGATTAACAAAACCTACAGAATCCCGTTTTATTTTTCCTTCGTAAGGTTAGCCAATTGTCACAACGTATATAAACATGAATTTTTACTTCATTGATTTGAAATGTATAAGTTTTTTTTTTTTTTTTTAATTTTGAAAGTCTCATTCTGTCATCCACCCAGGCTGGAGTGCAGTGGCATGATCATGGCTCACTGTAACCGCAAACTCCTGAGCTCAGGTTATTCTTCTGCTTCAGCCTCCTGAGTAGCTGGGACTACAGGCACATGCCACTGCCTGGTTAATTTTTAAAAATAGTCTGACTGTGTGGACCGGGCTAGTCTCAAACTCCTGGCCTCAAGCAATCCTTCCATCTTGGCCTTCCAAAGTTCTGGGACTATAGGTGTGAGCCACTGCACTTGGCCCAGATTTTTTTCTTAAGTAAATAATTCCTCAAGGAGTTACAAACAAATAGGGAATTTACCCAGAGTGTGAAATAAAGAAAATTAAAACTGTATTACAAGCAAAGAGATGTAAAGTCATGCAAGGCATTTGTTTCCTGAGCAGTGTTGTTATCATAAATTGTGCTTTTGTGTTTCTGGGGTCTCAGATCAATAAAAGAGGATGTCAGATTTTGAACATTAACGGAGCCCAGAGGGATAAATAAAGGATGTTATTATGTTTTTTTGGCTTGTGTCATAGCAGTAATATCACTTAAATGGACTACTCGTTTTGCATATTTCTTAACCTATATCAAGATTTAAGTAATGGGTTACGATTATGTCTTGGTTCTTGAATATCACTTTGAAGTTAATTCAGTGTAACAATCCATATGTGTTCACAAATAGAATGTTAAAACTAAAGACCGCAATCTATATGCAATAAAGAAAGGTGAAGGAACTCAGTTACTATGGCTTCATTAACTAACACTGTATTTAGTTTCATCCCCGGTTTGTCTTAAGAATCAGTTATGTGCTCTACCTAAAGCCAAATATCAAGCTATTTATAACATAAATTTGATTTAAACTGGAATACTAAATAAAATTCTAGAAAGTTACTTGCGTCAAGATATACTTTCAGCCTGCCTTATGGTGCATGTCATAAACTGTGTATTTTTGGCCAACCGTCAGGGAAATTTATAAATCTTTAACCACTTTATTTTGTAGAACTATGAACTTAATGTGGGCTTATTGATAGGGGCAAAAGATGAGCAAAGACCTTGAAGACCCATTGGCTTTCCATGAGCATTAAAGTGGAAAGATTTTAACTTTCAGTATAATTTAAAGCAATATCTTTTGTTTAATCTGCAAGACTCTACTCATCTGCTTATATTTTAATGTATCTTTGATAGAAGAAAATTTGCCTTTTTGAAAGAAATAAATCTACATGAGCAGAACTGCATTAAAGCCATTTGTAAACTTCATAGCTTCATAATATTCACACCAATCATTTCTTTTCCATTTTTGCAAGTTTTTAAAAATTCTTCTTTTATCCATTACAAAACACTGCTGCAAATGAAATTTCTTTTGCATATGTATTTTTCACCATTTCTGATGACTGAAGTATAATTACTGGATTAAAGGCCATGAAGCGTTTAGTTAAGTAAATCAATTTCTGATATATGCTAAGGAAATCCAATCCAGACTATAATCCCATCAATAGTCTATGAAAAGTCTAGTCTTTCATACCCTGTGCATCATTGTTACAATTTTTAAAATTCTTACCTATTTGATACCTAAAAATATTTTTTGTTATATAAAATAGTTTTTCATATTTATTATTGCACACTTATGTTTCTTCTTTCATAAACAGTTTATTAAAGTCTTTTGCCCAATTTTTATTGTCATTGCGGTACTTTTTCCTATTGAATTGTATGAGTTGTTTATTCAAGATGACTATGACAGAGGAAGATGGGACTAGAGAGTTGCACATCTAGCAATTTAATGCTTCTGCCGAGGCAAGAACCATGCCACATCAGCTTGGATGTCATTGATTAGAACTATTCCCATGAAATACCCAACTTCAAGGGGTTGGAGACTAATCCTCCTTATGTCCAGAATAGAACTGTGTATTGGTGAATATTAATAATGCCTATAATATATGACACTCCTTTGCTAATCAAAACGTATTTAATTCTTTTCCATGGTTTATTTTTTTCTTTCAATTTTGTATATGACTTTTTAAAAGGTACTGTTTCAAAGATGTGCAATTTTTGTTTATTTTTGGAATGTGCTTCCCTCTGATATATCTGCAAATGTTTAAAATTTCCACTAACAGAGGAAGACAGAATGGAAAAGAACTTGCCTCTGCCAATTCTTCTAGTGGTTAATTCTATATTAATAACATAATTCTGTTGTTAATTTTATATTGCTCTATTTTCATTATAATTTCTAATAATATACTTGAAACTATATTTCTTATTTTGACAATTAGAAAGATTGTCTTTCAACTTCTTACTTTATGAATTGATGACATTCGTGAGTCAAGATTCAGAACATCTATATTCTACTTTGTATTTATATGTAAATACATGTATATATACATGTATTTTTGATGTCATTTACTTTAAAAATGGAAAAATCAATAAGTATTGTTTACACATCTATATATAGCTAGGTGACTATTATTCAATGCAGAGCCAAGTACCATGCTATGATTAGATTTTCCATTTTTATATATTTTTCCTGTATACTTGAAATTTCCAAATGTTATTATACATTATGTGGTTTTAAAATATTTTTAAGTTCTTACTATCGTATATCTAATTCATGTATTCTAGTCTTTCAAGAGACTTTATTCATCTTCCTTGTGCAAACTAGATTGGCTTCTCTTGATCCTCCTGAACAACTGACATATTGAGATAGCACTGTCCTTTTGTGGTTGACCATGTAATTATTTCTTGACTTATTTCTTCATATGCTTTAAATACATTTTCTTTATTACTTACAATAGATTATTTAAAACAAGTTTTAAAATAATAAATCATATACACACGCACATATAAGTGTGCATGCATGCATGTATATGCATGGGTGTGTGTGCATAATATTTTAATGAAATCCCTCATTGATAGCTTTTTCCATGTTGGGAAAAGGCATAAATGCCTTCATGATATCCGTAATATTTTTCATCTTACTGAGTATTTCTATTCCTCAGAATACATTAAATTTTTCTTCAATATCAATTATGTTCTAATTTGGAGCAATTAATCTAGGTTTAAATTACATTTTTTCCACAAAAATTTTTGAAATATCTTGGAGTTTCTCATTTTTTTGTTTTTCTTGCACTGTGAACTTTATCTTACATTTTATTTATTTCCTTTCCTTCCTAATGTATCTCTTTCTCCACTTTATGCCTGGGCAGCACCCCACTGGAGTTTTCTGTCTTCCTGCAATTTGAAATCAATGTTCTCTAATCTTATTGCACTGCCCGTCAACTGGGACCTTCTCTTTGTTCTTTTGATTTGAGGCTTGTTGTCTGAACCCGTCGATTTTAATTTCTTTTTTCTTATTCTGATTTTCTCTAGAGCACCTCCTTAAGTTACTTTCTTTTTTTTTTTCTTTTATTTTTATACTTTACATTTTAGGGTACATGTGCACATTGTGCAGGTTAGTTACATATGTATACATGTGCCATGCTGGTGCGCCGCACCCACTAACTCGTCATCTAGCATTAGGTATATCTCCCAATGCTATCCCTCCCCTCTCCCCCCACCCCACAACAGTCCCCAGAGTGTGATGTTCCCCTTCCTGTGTCCATGTGATCTCATTGTTCAGTTCCCACCTATGAGTGAGAATATGCGGTGTTTGGTTTTTTGTTCTTGCGATAGTTTACTGAGAATGATGATTTCCAATTTCATCCATGTCCCTACAAAGGACATGAACTCATCATTTTTTATGGCTGCATAGTATTCCAAGGTGTATATGTGCCACATTTTCTTAATCCAGTTCTAAGAACGGGTATTTTGGTGGTAAATTATCTGAGTATTTGCATGTTTGCAATGGTTTTAATTCTCCTCTCATATGTGATTGAAGGCTTTGATGGATACAGATTTCTAGGATGAAAATTACATTTCCTTAGAACTTGGAAGGAATGACCGCCTTATTTTCTATCATCAGATGTTGTTTGAGACGCCTAATTCTTGTTTTTTGTGCATTTATTATTTGCTTTTTGGCAGCTTTCAGGATTTTATCATTAGTCCTACCTAAAAATTCACAGTGATGTATCTAAATGGGAACTTTTAAAGTCCATCCTATTTAGGACTCAATTTGAAAACAGATTCCCCCATGAAGACCTGAAAAATTCTCAGGGATGAATACGTAGAGGACTTGCCTCTCTCCATTTCTTTTAGTTCTTTCTAGATATCTGTTTAGTTGATTTTGCCCTTCTTGTATTTAGTGTAACATAGACAAAAAAGATCATACATCCTTTTTTTCTGATATTGTAGCTTTAAACATTTTTACTAATATAATGCAGTTAAAATAGATTAGATAGCGTTCATCTGTTTGGCTGTGTAGAACATCTATCCACTTCTGAGATTGCCTTGAGTGGTTCTATCTAAATAATGCTTACCCTCATATTTGCTTTATCCCCTCTTCCTCATTGTATGGCTATTAGAAAATACAGCTTTCATGGAATTTTGAAAACCATAGAGCATCATTGGAAGAAAAGAAACATGTTTCTAAGTGTTGATGAAAACGATACAAAAAGTAACACTGAGCATTAGAATAAGGGAAAGAGATGAGCAGAACAACTTAGGCAATGGCATAAATAATAAGTCATTTGGTTTGTGTGTTCCACATTACCAATCTTATTTCATCTTTGTAGTCCTCTCTCGTATTTAATTATAAGTTGCTTTTCTTTTCTCTTTACAAGAGTCTGTAAAACCTTATATTCACAATTTTATCTTTGCTATCTTACTCTTTTGGTAGAGTCTTGTGTTGGCAGCATAGTTGAATGTTTTGTATCTTTTTGATATTTTATCTTCAGCATATGGTTTTGAATTTTAAATGTGAAGATCATGATAACCTTCATATCTAGAATTTCTTCTCTAAAAAGGCAGTCAGGTTAAGGCTTCACCTATGTTTTAGCAATACACTAGTAATGAACAGATAGATATTCAGTGGAAAAAAACTATTAAGTAATTGATATAAGAAACAGAGCCCTGGCGATTTCAGGATTTTATTGTTTATTGTCAACTTTTTCTTAGCTGTTACCTTGTTGATAATGGAGATGATTTGTTGCCTCGGAAAATAAAAGCACACTGAAGCAATAACCATGTGAATAATATGTTTATGGTTGAGAGAAAGTACAGTTCACCAAGTAATATTTTTTGATGAAATTGAGGCAGATTGATTTTATGCTTTCTGATGATAGAGGTACTGATAAGATTACAAATCTCATATAACCATTCAGAAAAGTTTACCACTTTTCCCCTGAAAAGAATCTATAGTTGATTTTCATTATTTACAGTAGTTATGTTCTAAAAATTATTCTCTAACACTGAATTAGCAAATACTGAACCATTGCTCCTAGGGGAAATTGAATTAGGTTCCTGTGAGCCTCTCATTACAACATTTTCATCAACTGATCAATACATAACATTGTTTATGTTTACAAACATCTTATTTCATATATATTGTTTACAGACATCTTTCTTAATATATTTTGATCCATTAACACTGAATACATGGCCAACAGTACTATAATTCAAGCCTGAAGGGAGCTAATCTAACATACATATTTTCTCAGTAAAGCACATCACAGCCTTCTTGTGCTTTAAAATGCTAGACAGCAATTCCTATCTATGCTTGGGAACCACTTTAAACAGTGAAATTACTAACAAAAAGTGCAAAGATGCAAAATAAAAATGGAAATTAAATAGATTCCCAAAAGGACACTTGTTTACAGTATGAAAGCTGACACAAGAAGGCAGAGTGTTGCCTTGTTTGATCTCAGCTGGAGATGTGAGCTGGGTAACAATTTTTCACTGCTCTGCAAATGTCCATGAATGACTGCAAAAGTGCTGCAAGTATTGATTTTGAGGTTACAAATAAATTTTAGAGAGTAGGCAAATTTGCAAATAATAAATCCATAAAAAATGAAGATGGTTTCTATTTGATTTGAGCCAGTTTAGGCAAAACAGATAGCTTTTTATTTATTTTAGAAATCTGATAGAGTTTAAAGGATTTCACCTTGCTCTGAAATGTTTATAATTACCTGTGATGAAAAAGCAGCTTGGATTTGAAAGGATTTGGATCTGAGTCTGACTTTAAACTCTGTGGAAGAAATTGAGGGGAAATGAACACGCTTATTCTCCCCAATTCAAATTCATGGTGGCACAGCTGAAGGACAAAGCATTTTCTTTTATTTTTCTTTTCTTGTAGTGAATGCCCCCTAAAAGAGAAAGATCTAAAGCACTGAAGGACATTAAACTCCTTTGAGGTGTCTAAGCAACAATTTTTGTGAATCCTGTTATCATAGGTTTTTTCCACTTTTGTTTTGCTATTCTTTTCACTGGGAAAGTTAGAGTGCTAACAAACATAAAGAAAAGAAAAGTGAGGATGTGTGCTGTATGTACCTGTGCCTAATTGGCACAATATTTGGCTGTAAGTTGGGATGCACATAGGCTTTACATAGGCTTACCAGAATCTAGTTATCATTTTCTCTGCATGAAAGATTGTCCTAAGCTCTGAGGGGCAGACATTAAGAAGACTAGAAAGGTGGACGCTCATGGAGCCTATGTTAGAATGGGTGAATGATAATAAACAAATAGAAAAAAAAGCAGAAAAAAAAAGATTATAGCTTGAGAAATGCACTTTAAAGGAAATCAGTAGGGAGCATGATGGAGGAACTAGTTGAAGACAATATGTTAGGTAGGCTGAGTGAGGAAGGTCTGTTATTTAAGGAGGTAAGACCTGAGCTGAGACCAGGAAGATGAGAACCAGCTGGACATATGAAGAGTTGGGGAAAGAGCATCCCTGGTAGAGGGAACTAAATACAAAGGGCCTGAATGAGAAAAACCTTGGTGTGATTACTCTCAGGAGGAAGGTGTCTTTGCAACAGAGAGAGGGAGCAAAAGGGTGGGCAAAAACAAATAAACCAACAAAAGCTAGAGAGATCAGCAGGAGGCAAAGCACACAGCTCGTAGTAAGCAGCATGAGTTTTGATTTAGGTGAACTGAAGATCCACATAATCTCAGACTGAAAGGTAAACAATAAGGCAGGAAAAAGATCTTAACCCCCTACCTCCTTAGCTTCATCACAGCAAATGTCAGCAAAAATATGCAATGGGAAAAGCAAAGATTTCCATACTCACAAAATCATTTCGAGATGAGAAAATATATTCGTCTGATTGGATTTGGATTTTTCCTTTCTGTTTGGTTGGAAGCAATTTGTTCAGAGTGAACATTTCTCTAGAAATGTCTTCAGCAACAAAGAGTTTTTATTCTTACAGGGATGTAAGGTTTGTTGTGTTGTGGATTGTCCTATATAAAAGAGGCTACTGATACTAGAGTTATTACTCAGAACCTTTAAAGTTTGTCTCTTACTTAGCACTGAAACTATTTTCTGAACAATAATCTGTTGGCTTTGACTTCCTACCTCTTCATTGTGAATGATATAAAAAAAATCATGTACTGTCTGGCCTCAGGGTCACCATTTCCCTCTTTGGCTCCTCAGGCTGAATCAGAGTTGCTAGTTGTGAGGAGGAATGAGGCCTTCCTGTAGCTATGTCTTTGATTACATGAATAGTTTTTACTCTGAAAGTCAGGGTGGAGAAAAATCTGAAATTTAATTTGCTCATCTTCTGATTGTCCTAATTGCCTTGCCCAGTTTTTTCACTGGATTAAAAAAATACTACATAAAAAAATAATAGCAGATTGTCATTTCTAAAAATTTATATTTTTCTCAATTCATTTATCTAATGGACAAAAACAGGCATCTACACACAGTAAATGAGGTGATTATTTTCAAACATAGGATGGTAGCAGACTTAGAGAGTGAAATCAGAGCTTCGAGTATACCAGGCCCTTTAGGAAAGCTGTGATCTTCCTATAATCTCCAACTCGATTATTGTTTGTATTTTCAGGTAATAATTAAGGTGGCATCATATACTTCAGGGTTTGTTTCTGCTGCCAGGTTCAATCTTTGTCTATGGAATGAACTCTACCTTGCTTGTGGAAAAAAAATACACTCTGCTTTTCCTTTCTCTATATTCTAGTGATAATAGACTTGGAGTTACATGTCATTCAAAGGAATAGAGTCCAACTTATAAACAAGTCTCCTGAATCTTCTCCTATCTGCTTCATTAAGATACTTATGATTTCTAAGTGAATTAAGACCAGGTTTTTTTTTGGAAACTGTTAAAATCTAATAACTTTGGAAAAATGAAAGTTTAGGGGAAGCTTCCTTGTACTGCTAGAAACATAAGTGAAATGAAATCCAACTATAATATATCAGGACTTCAAAGCCCCAGGATGGATGTCATGCTAAGTAGTAAAGGCAATAAATTATCAGTATTTGGGGGATGCTTTCTAGAAAGAAAGATTCCAAGACCTCTCTTGATAATCTTTATCACAAAATAACTCTTCTTGTCAAGGAGTTTTGCCTATGTCTGTCTGAATTTTATTCTCTGTAATTTAAACATCCTTTCATTTAGGCAACCCTCTGAGAAAGAGACAAAAGTCTATGCTTCGTCAGCATGGCAGAACTTCGTATACTTAACAGCAATAACTCAACCATTTATTTTCTATGTAAAGGAACTCAACCCTTAGGCTTCTCACAGAACACGAATGTTTCCTCTGGTTTATTTTTCTCGTCATATACAACCTCATTCCAATTTTTTTCTGATAAAAAAAACAAACTGAAACCTACATTGTGCAAGAGTAATAATTTCTAGTTAATTTTGTTGACAGTAGAGGTTTATATTCAAGATAATGCATCTCACTTCATAGTGAATACATTCCAGTATTACGTTTAGTTTTAAAATAACTTCTTCATATGGATGACATACATTCAATATACAGTTTATTTCTTTGTTATTCCTGTGTTTAGTTAGGAATTCTAACTCTGCTACTTATTGTTGCTATCTGATATTGGACAGGCTAGTTAATTTCTCTTGGCCTTAGTTACTTTGTTTGTGAAATTTGAATCACATGATATTGTCTCTATGAAAACATTTAATAACATTTTATATATAGAAAGTGCTCAATAAATACAAGCTTTGATTCTCAGTACATCTTATGTCTTTATATGAACTACATGCAACTAACACATTTACTCACATGAAAAAATGTCTGTTAAATTTTATCCTGTTTTTAATACACAATTTTAATGATATAATTAGGTTACCTTTGGTTCCATTTTATACTTTCGTAGTAATAACACTGATTTCAAAAATATAGACTATCGACTGGATATCAAGTTCATTGGGATTGGTTTGCTTTTTACAAATTTAACTTTGGAATAATTCAGGATTTACTCTTATAAATTGCGATGAGCTGCATATATTGTGATGTACTCTGTAATATCATCTGTTGAAATAAAGGGGATATTTCTTATAGTTAATGTGCTATCATTTTGTAGTTTTGTAGAGATTTTCACTTCTTAGAGTTGATTTTTCTTCACACAAATATTGAGTAGTTACTGTTTTTGGTTTTCGATCTTCACAGCTTCAAGTGTCTTAGGAAACATACTCAGATACACATGTATTAAATGTACTTGTTCATTTTTCATTTTCTGTCCATTTTCACTTTAGATTTCTATATTGTTATAAAACTAGTGGTAAAAAATGAAGGCTATTTCCTTTTGCAGTGATATTTCATATGCTTTAACTCATTTTCTTTCACTAGTAGATAGGAACATGGTACTTGGCTATTTATTTTATATTTCCTCATCAAGATAAAGATGACAGTCTTGGGACTAAAGATGAATAGTTGGGACTTCTCAGGCATGCTTCTGTTACATTGGCTGAACACATTGTGCTCTCCATAATTAGCATGAACTTTACAGTGTATTCCCTGTGCCTGGCCTTGTGCCAGCCTCTGTTAGGAAACAAAACTCAGATTCATCATCTCCCAACATATTGCAAAGATACTAGGAGAACAAAAAGACAAATTCACAACAGATTTGAAGATGGATTGCTGTATGCCTCTGAATATGTTTGGTACATGAATCCAGAAAGTGCAGGATCATTGTGATTGATGAAACTGGGAAATCCCTGTATTTTGTGTAAATGTGGGGGTAGAAAAAAGAATGATGGTCATGACTTGTGACTCTTCAATTGGTAAGGTGCCCAGAAATGTACCTAGCATGTAGAAGGTGGTCAATGAAGGATGTGAGATAGGGTCCAAGGAAGGTTATTTTTGAATGTGGGGCACATACGTAATCACACAAGAGGACTTGTCACATTATTCCAGGACTGAGACCTGAGCCACGAAGGTGAGCAGGTCACCTGGAGCAGTGGGCATGCTTGGCTTCTGGCTGGAGGGTTATTTCGGGGGAGGCAGTACACTTCGACTTTTTGTTAGCTCTGGGGAGAAAGCTGAGATCAGAGTTATCCAATGAATGTAGAAATGGTACAGCTCTGACTTAAAGGGAATTCCAGAGTTTCACACCAGAATGAGGCACAGGAAGGGACATGTGCAAGAAGTGGAGTTCAGGGAGGAGTTAGTGAGGCAGGTGCAGGCAGAAGGGGCGTCACCATGCAGACAGCATCAACACTTTTCTGGAAGAGACGCTTAAGGTTTAACTCTGGATTACAAGACAGACGCCTAATCTTTGCTCTTATTATCCTCACTGGGAAATCATTTGTTATTCTTTTGTCAAATATAACAAGTATAAACTCTGCCTAGGTTGTAGAGTTCTCCCTTAACGTTTTGTACTCTGGGGATAACTCTTTGACGTGTATATATATATAATCATATCATATCATATATCATATTTTATATATATATCAAAATTTATATTAGAATTTGATATCCAGTCGATAGTCTATATTTTTGAAGTCAGTATTATTACTACCAAAGTATAAAACTGAATCAGAGGTAACCTAATTATATAATTAAAATTGTATATTAAAAACAGATAAAGTTTAACAGACAGCATTTTTTCATATGTGAGTAAATGTGTCAGTTGCATATAATTCATATAAAGACATAAGATGTACTCAGAATCAAAGCTTATATTTAAGTAATACATTAAAAATACAAAATATTAAATACAAAGCTTGTATTTAAATAATTAATATATTCAAAATACAAAAATTAGGCCGGTGTGGTGGCACACGCTTGTAATCCCAACTACTCGGGAGGGTGAGGCAGGAGAATTGCTTGAACTCGGGAGGCGGAGGTTTCAGTGAGCCTATATATATATGTGTGTGTGTGTTTATGTGTGTGTGTGTATATATATATACGTGTGTATATATATACGTGTATATATGTATATATATGTATATATACATGTATATATACGTATATATATACACCTGTATATATATACATACGTATATATTTATGCACGTGTCTATATACACGTGTATATATACACAAGTATATATATACACATATGTGTATATACACGTATGTATATATATATACCGACCATGGCAGAGAATTCCTTTCTTTCACTATATATATATATATATATATATATATATATATAAATAAAATAATTCTTTTTTTATTTAAAAAAATATGTTTTTTGAGACAGGGTCACTCTCTGTCACCCAGACTGGAGTGCAGTGGGATGATCTTGGCTCACTGTAACTTTAACCTCCTGGAATCAAGCAATCCTCTCAAATCAGCCTCCTGAGTAGCTGGGCCTATAGGCGTGCAACACCACACCTGATTAATTTTGAAAATGTTTTGTAAACATGAAGTCTATGTTGCCCGGCCTGCTCTGGATCTCCTGGCCTCAAGTGATCCTCCTGCCTCAGCCTCCCAAAGTGCTGGGATTAAAGGCATGAGCCATCACGCCCAGCTCACAAATATTTTCAATACCTCAAATGTGCTAGACGCAGTGCTGAGGGATAAAACACAGCCACCAGGGAGTTTGAAATCTAAGAAGAAACTTTATGAACCTCCAGAGCCACTTGAAAGTCCCTGTGTACTTCATAATTTGAATATCTTAGAACTTTCCTCTGACTGTTCAAGAGTTTAGATACATCCTTCAACATCAAACTCACATTCTTATGCACTGTGAACCCTTTCTGGAACATTCTAATCCTTACTACCAGAGTCTTTAGAACTTCCAAATTATTTTAGTCACAATGTGAAATTATAGACTCATCAAGGCCGAGAGATTTACTGATTATTTATTGAATGCTTTTGACATACGGAGGAATTAATTCCAGAAAGACCAGGTGATTTAGTCAAAGGTGACACAGTTATTTATAGAAAGAGCCTGGATTTGTACCTAGAATTTCTGACTCTTAAAATAATCATGTGCCTGGCAAAGTGCCTGGGATACAGAAAGTACTCACTGAATGATAGTAGTCTCGTTCCTCAGTGGGTTACAATTTCTTTAAGAATGGCATTATGCTTAACGCTTCCATTGTGTGTCCTGGAGAACTGGCCTAGGTCTGAGCCCATTGTAGACGCTAAGGATGTATTTACTGTTAATTGTTAATACAAATTTATTTCCCATTGTCTTCATGTTACAGAGGAACTAAAAATCTTGAAAGAGAACCACCATTTTAGTGGTAAGCCCAACTGTTGCTGTGTCTTTCTTATAAGTAATATTTATGGTTTATGAGTCTTGCAATCAAACGATGGACATATGCTGGGACCATTTCTCTAGTAAAAGCAATTATATATTGTTTTTATTTTAAAGAACTGACTATCATGATCTGCAAATATTTTTAAAGCTACCATTATGCAGGCATTCCTTAAATTGGAATTAGTGGTTATGCGTTAATGGGACTGCCAATAATTGTCGCATTCTATAAATCAAAAGAAAATGGCTCCCTTTTTTGTTGATAGATATTTACAGCCCCCAGCTTTAAGTTGAAGATACAAGTATAACTGCTTCAAGATTATATTCCTTGAGGAAAGATATTGCTTCATGGAAAGTAAGAGTAGAAACACAAAGCCCTATATATTAAAGTTTAACTTGATGAAAAATCTTATTTAATTGATAGCCATCTAAATTTAAGCAAATTATTATATCTTAGGAGACTAATGCCATAGGAAAGAGAGTATTGGGCTGTTTTCTATCTTATCATTGAGGCACAGGGAGGTTATAATTATGGCATCCTGGTGCTAAACATGGAGCAGGGTCAATTTTCGCAATTGAAGAAAAGAAGTTATAATAGTCGGTCCTTTTTTCTCACCTGGGCAATGCATGCATTACATGAATATCCAGAGTTTCTTTTCATTCGTTCCTAAATGGAGTCAAATGCAGATTCAAAGATATAAATGGGGCTACCTACTTTTAAAGTTCACGAGATACAGATCTATATAGATGACAAAGGTGATAAATATATAGAAACATATAAACACATAAACTTCACTCCCAAGTTAAAACCCACAATTAAATCAAGAAGGCCCATTTGCTACTTGGTAAAAATAACAAATCAGGAAAAGGATATGATAATCTTGCTATATAATAAAAATCTTTCTCCACATCGTTTTACATAAAACACAATCTTCTCAACTTATTCCCAAAGTAAAAATCCTCCTCCACTCACATACTTCATGATCCCAGGGGACATTTATGGTATTAGCACAGTTACTAGAAAGTATTAGAGAGGGTGCTTCCCATTCTCCAGCTATGCTTGCTTTTCCTCTTCTTGCTGTTGATGTTTCTGCCCTATTGCTCTGTTTTTCTCCTTTCACCTTTTTCTAGGGGTTGGGGAATGTGAAAGAGCATAACCCTGGAAACAGAAACAGAAATTTAATTACCTAAATTGCTTGGATTTGATGCATTATGGAGCCTATCAAAAAAAGCGTATACCTTCAAGTTTTTTATGAAAAATTTCATTGTCATTTTAAATGAAGGAAGGCAATAATAACTAGAGGAGAGACAGGGGCAGACTCACATCCTTGGACCAGGAGATGGAGAATCACAGAAATGAGAGATGCCATGGAAAATGTCTCAGAAAGTATTTAAAATGCTTTCCCCACATCCTATTACATAAATACACTTTAACAAATATTTTTCTGACAGGGTGGCTTATTATAAGAGAAGCAGTATAATACTAGTGTCCTGGAAAGGGCAGAAAAAAATAAAAAACAATGTGGATTCCCAACTGGCATTTTATTTTATTTTTTTAGATGTCGTTCAGCCCATTCATTAACTCATCTGTTCACTTAGAGAATAAAAGTTTTTCACTGGAGTCTGTACAGTTAAAATTTTCACTGAGGTGTTATCTTACTTAGTCCTGTAGTACATTTTTCTCTTTATTAATTTTACTTCATTTTTCTTGGTAGTGACGGCTTGCTGATGTTCACTATTAATGTTGACAGTATGAATAGATTGCAAAACCAATGAAGATGCATATCTTTCTAATAAAGAAGAACAAGCAGAGATGAATGTTCTTCCAATAACACTGTCAGTGGCAGAGACTACTACAATAAAATGTCTATTTTTAAGATTATTTGCTGCATGTCACTGCAGGGATGGAAATTCAGTAGAAAATTTGTTCATTCAGTCATTTTGAGAGTAATACAATTAGTAGTACCACTAGGGCAGAAGCCTTATAGACTAGTCTGGTAATTCTCAAAGTGTTGTGTTAGGTTGCCAGGCATTCTTGAGACCCTATACGGGGATCTACAAAATAACAATCATTTTCATAATATTAATAATATCAAGACATAGTTTGCCTTTTCCACTTTGTTGCTTTTGCACCATTAGTGCAACCATTGACATGAATCAGCTGTACTGAGTAGTCATCTTCATCCCTGCCACACACTCACAAAAAATCCCTCAAAACAAAACAAAACAATTTTGCTTAAGAATGTCTATCATAAAACAGTAAAAGTTGTAGATTTTATTGAATCTCAACCCTTAAGTAGACATATTTTTGTATTCTGCAAAACCAAATGAAGGGTATGCAGGAAGTTCTTAACTGTCACATGGAAGTCCACATGATCATATGGAACAAAAGCACTTGTGTGGTTGTGACTGCGAGCCGACTGGGCCACTCTTCTGTCATAGGCCATCCTTTTACTTGAAGGAATGACTGATGAACTAGGGTTATTTGTGTTTGGTTATTTGACCAACATTTATTTTTTAGAAGAATAAAGTAAGTCTGTCACTTTAAGGGAAACAATGGACAGTTTTTGTTGCCAGTTCTAAAATTCAAGCTTTTAAGTTAAAAAGAGAATTTTGGAAAAATTGCCTCTGCCATTGTGAGCTTGTCATTTTCCCAATAATTAAAGGCTTCTCATATGAGGTGTGTGGTAATATTGAGGAAAATAATATTTTGATATTGTATAATGAATTATGGCAACATTTGGGTCATCTACCTAATTGTGAACTAATATTTTCTAAATGATCAATGCATAATATTAGAGAATTAAGTGTGACTAAATGATCCAGTCAAGCACAAGATAGACCAGTGGATTTTTAATGGAATAGAGTATAAAATGTTTATTTATATGGGTTTAGAAATTCACATTATAGATAACCCTTAAGACACTATCATTTGCCAACTGTTAGTGTGGTTTCAAAGAATAATATCCACAATTACCTGAAAAGGCTAACAAAATACTCTCTACATTTAAAATTGCTATCTAGTTCAAGACAGATTTTTCTAATTTAAATCCAACAAAGCAAAATATGAAAACCCAACTGTCTTTAAAAAAGAAAAAGAGATTTGCAGAAATAAAAGCAGTGTTACTCTCCTAATTTTGGGGGGACCATGTAGTTATTTTTCACAAAATATGTTATTAATATAAAATTGTGGTGTTTATTACTATTATTATTTTTTAAATGAACTGATAAATATCTTAATCCCCCACCTTTTTGTTTTTTTTTTTTGAGACAGGGTCTTGCTGTGTCGCCCAGGCTGAAGTGCAGTGGCATTATCTTGGCTCACTGCAACCTCTGCCTACTGGGCTCAAGCCATCCTCCCACTTCATCCTCCCAAGTAGCTGGGATCACAGGCACACACCACCACACCTAGCTAATTTTTGTATTTTTGGTAGAGACAGGGTTTTGCCACGTTGCCAAGGCTAATCTCGAATTCCTGAGCTCAAGGGATCTACCCACCTTGGCCTCCCGAAGTGCTGGGATTACAGACATGAACCGCTATGCCTGGCCCCTTTTTGTTTTAATGTAAAATACAGTAAGTGGGAATAAGTGTAACTCATGTATACAAAAGCTCTTTGGGGTCCTTAATAATTTTTAAGATTGTATAAGTATATTCTTCTGAAACTGTTTGAGAACTGCTATCCTAATCTATGGAGATTTCCTACTGGTGGGGTTTCAAAAATTTAATTGAAAGCAGAATAGAATACTAGAACTTAAAATTTTGTTTGATCAATTGCCTCTACCAAAGTTTATTAAAATTATTATATTTGGGAAAATTGCTTCTTTATAGAAATCAAAATGATTAATCAGTTCCTATTGCTGCTCCTGTTTCATATCCCACAAAATTGATACAATGAGATAATTTCACTGGGAATTTTAACTAGTGCTGAGACAAGCTCATTAATGTTTGTTATTATTCTGTTTACCCCCACTTTCAGGTAGAACCAAAATTTATCTTATGCTAATCAGGGAAATGGCAAAATAAACATTAGAGAAAAAGGTTCTTGTAAAAGATTTGTCAAATACAGGTAACATAAATCTTTTTCGTCAAAGAGTAGACTTGTCAGAAATATTTTAAAATAAAAGAGTAAAAGTACACGCACACACACATACTTTCTTTTTTTTTTTCCCTAATGGCAGTCACAGGGTTAGACTAAAAATGAGAGACATTAATGCTCTTTTTTCTGTCTAGAAATCCAGAAATATGTATGTATGATTATACTCTAAGGATAAAGGAAGTTTTTTAATTGTTGGGGAGGGTGGGAGTTATATTAATCTACCAATGATTTGAAAACAATTAGATAATTATCTGGAAAAAATAACATAAGCTCTCTATTTTCTGTGTGTACTATAAGAACGTATAGAAGCATCGTTTTAAAGTCTAGGCCTAAACAGAGGTAATCTGTTAAAGGATATAACACAAAGAACATAAGCCATAAAGGAAACGGTTAGTAGATTTGATGACATAAAACTCAAAACCAATTTATGTCATAGAAGATAGAGTTAACCCATTTAAAAAATCAGATTGGGAAAATGTTTCTGCTTCATGTAACTGATAAATTGTTAATATCCATAGTCTATAGTCCGGAAAGAGCCCCTGAAATCAAAAAGAAAAAGGCAAACAACTCAATATGAAAATGGTCAAGGTCAAGAAATGCAATAATAAGAAGAGATACAAATATCCAGCAAACATGTTAAGAAACTGTCAAATTGATAATATTATATATATTGGAACTATCCTGTGTTGAGGGTGTGTGAAATAGGCAATGGACTGTCACCCGGAGTTGGAGAGGCTTTAACTTAATCAAATGTGTGTATTTAACCTAGACGTTTTACTTCTACTAATTTGTTCTTGGGATATTCACTTATATGGTCAAAGATATAAGTAGAGGATACTCACTGTTTTTCAGTGGTGAAAATTTGAATTTAACGTACCTGGTCACCAATCATGAATTAGTTAATTAAATGACAACCAATCAATTTGGCATATTTCTGTAGTTATGAAAATATAGTGCACATAGTTTTAAAATGTTTGTATAAATTTAAGGGGCACAAGTGCAGTATTGTTAGATGGATATATTAGGTAGTGTTGAAGTCTGGGCTTTTAGTGTAACCATCACCTGAATAGTGTACATTGTACCTAATAGGTAATTTCTCATCCCTACCACCTTCTCTCCCTCTTACCCAGTCTCCCCGTCTATCATTCCACACTCTATGGCCATGTTGTTCAGTTCCCACTTATAAATAAGGTCATGTAGTATTTGACTTTCTGTTTCTGAGTTGTTTCACTTAAAATAATGGCCTGCAGGTCCATCCATGTTGCTGCAAAACACGATTTCATTCTTTTTATGGCTGAATACACACACACACACACCATATTGTCTTCATCCAATCATCCACTGATGGACATTTACGTTTATTTCATATCTTTGCTTTTGTGAACAGTGATGCGATAAAAATACGAGGGCAGGTATCTTTTTAATATAATAATTTATTTTCCTTTGGGTATATGCCCAGTAGTGGGATTGCTGGATAAAATCCTAGTTCTATTTTTAGTTATTTGAGAAATCTCCATACTGTTTTCCATAGGGGTTTTACTAGTTTATATTCTTACCAACAGTGTATAAGCATTCCCTTTTCTCTGCGTCCTCACCAACATCTGTTGTTTTTTGTCTTTTTAATAATAGCCATTCTGACTGGTGTAAGATGATATCTCATGGGACTTAATTAAACTAAAAAGCTTCTACACAGCAAAAGAAATGATCAACAAAGTGAACAGACAACCTGCAGAATGGGAGAAAATATTTGCAAACTATGCATCCAGCAGGGGTGTGATATCTTGAATTTACAAGGGACTCAAACAACTCAACAACCGTAACAAAAACCAAATAAACAACCATAACATAAAAACCAAATAACCCTATAAAAAGTGGACAAAGGATATGAATAGTCTTTTTTCAAAAGAATACATACAAATGGCCAACAAGCATATGAAAAAATGCTTAACATTGCTAAGCATCAGATAAATGCAAAATAAAACGTCAATGAGATATCATTCGTACATGTAGTTTTATATACAGTGACACAGAAAAATTTTATCATGTTAAGTATAAAAATTCTTGATTCTTTTAAATAAAAGTACTGTGTATATGTGTGTGTAATACATATCTATAGGTACCAATAAAATGTCTTCAGAAGATACAGCAAACTATTGAGAGCTGCTTTACATCAAATTGTAATATTATATATTACATATATATGTTATATATTATATATAATATATAACATATATTACATATATATGTTATATATAATATATAATATATAATATATATATATAATATATAAATTATATATTACATATATATGTTATATATTACATATATTATATATAATATTATATATTACATATATATGTTTGTTATACAGTTATGAGAGGTTTCCACTCTCACTGTTTTATGTGTTTTCTTTATTTTTTAACAATAAGCATGTATTCATGGTAAACATAATTAGATTCCAATCTTATCCTTACCACACACATAACTTGAATAAGCTCATTAAATATTAATTGAAGTGTATTTTTCTAGTGAAATTAAAATAATGCAACAGCTCAAAACAACTTAAATCATGATCTTAGATAGAAATAAATTCTGAAATTATGATCACACAGAACCATTTGTGTTCTAGGGAGCAACTGGAACACAAATGCCAACTCTTTCCTCCTTTTAAGAGAATTAATTTCTTATTGAGGAACTGGCCACTGCATCTAGTCCACACTTCCACATTCTCCCTATAGTATGATACTTAATTAATCTGTAACTGAAACTAGGGAAATTACAAAAACTTTTTTTCTGCCATCCTGACTTGATATCTAGAAAGCAGGTGACATCTGGATATCTAGAAGGACTTGGTATCTAGAAGGATGAACTCTAAGATGTGTAGAAAGCGACATGATTTTGTAATGGGGAGAGCCAAATTTGGATTCTGCTTTGTTAATTGCTTGATTTATTTGCAGTACCATCATCTGTAAAATAGGATTAAATTACAGGTCATTGTGAGTGTTGAGGTATTTGGAAAGCATTATTTTTTGTAGTAGAGTTTTTAAAATAAAAAACCTTATCATTCTAGCCTGAGTAGGAAGCATTAAAAAGCTAATCAAAGTTGGAAGAAATCAGTTATGCTTTCAAAATAACCCAAGTGAAACCATGACAAGAAATTGTCAGATAAAAACAAGTGTCAGGTAAATGCCAGATAAACACAGAGGTTAACTTTCCTAGTGTCACCTTCGAGAAAGCTGGGATGGAATCTATCACTTTTTTATCCCAAGCCCTGTGACTTTTTACTGTGCTGTGCCACTTTCAGATATATCATGTGGTTTTTTCTTTCCAATATTTAATCGCCCTCTGAGGTTGTGATTTGTTCATGGGATTTATTTTGCTCTTTCACACCATTGAAGGGAGATTTTATCTTTGTTGCTTTGGAGCCTGAAAAAGTGAATGTGTCTTAAAAATACAGGTCTAACTGCTTACAAAGATCAATGAGCCTTTGACTACTTTCTCTAAATATTATTCATAATAGATGATTGCATTGTCTTCTCAACTGAAATGCAAGAAATAACAATTTAACGAAAAATTTCTGAAAATCTGCAGGATTGATTTCAAAAGTATCATTCATCACGACACTTCAGCTTCACTTGTGAGACCAGTATATAATTTTCTTTTGATCTTTTAATCTATTTATGAAGATAATTTACTTTATTAAAAGAATTTTTATGGCAACCAACTAAATTTTCTACTAGAAATAATTTTATCCAGCACAATTGAAGACTATGAAAACCCAAATGTTATAGAATCTTGCTAACTAAGCCTCAGTATTACTGATTCTTTTAAAAAATGTTAGAGTTCCTGTTGCGGGAAGTCAGGGACCCTGAATGGAGGGACCCACTGAAGCCATGGCAGAAGAACATAAATTGTGAAGATTTCATGGACATTTATTAATTCACCAAATTAATACTTTTATAATTTCTTACACCTGTCTTTACTGCAATCTTTAAATGAAAATTGTGAAGATTTCATGGACATTTATCACTTCCCCAGTCACTATTCTTGTAATTTCCTATGCCTGTCTTTACTTTAATCTCTTAATCCCGTCATCTTCCTAAGCTGAGGATGTATGTCACCTCAGGACCCTGTGATGATTGCGTTAACTACACAAATTGTTTAAACAGTATGAAATCTGGGCACCTTGACAAAAGAACAGGATAACAGCAATGTTCAGGGAACAAGGGAGATAACTATTAGGTCTGGCTGCCTGAGAGCCGGGTGGAACAGAGCCATATTTCTCCTCTTTCAAAAGCAAATAGGAGAAATATTACTGAATTCTTTTTCTCAGCAAGAAACATCCCTGAGAAAGAGAATGCATTCCTAGGGGGAGGTCTCTAAAACGGCCACTCTGGGGACGTCTGTCTTTTTACAGTTGAAGATAAGGGATGAAATAAGCCCCAGTCTCCTGTAGCGCTCCCAGGCCTATTAGGACAAGGAAATTCCCACCTAATAAATTTTGGTCAGACCGGTTGTCTGCTCTCAAATCCTGTCTCCTGATAAGATATATCAATGACAATGTATGCCCGAAACTTCATTAGCAATTTTAATTTTGCCCTTGTCCTGTCATCTCGCCCTGCCTCCATTTGCCTTGTGATATTTTATTACTTTGTGAAGCATGTGATCTCTGTGACCCACACCCTATTTGTACACTCCCTCCCCTTTTGAAAATCACTAATAAAAACTTGCTGGTTTTGCGGCTTCTGGGGCATCACAGAACCTGCCAACATGTGATGTCTCCCCGAACACCCAGCTTTAAAATTTCTCCCTTTTCTACTCTTTCCCTTTATTTCTCAGAGCAGCCGACACTTAGGGAAAATAGAAAAGGACCCACGTTGAATTATCGGGGGCGGGTTCCCCCGATAAGTTCCAATGGTTATAAGGCAGAAAGAAACAGAAAAAAATTGTAGAAGATAAAGGAAGGGGACACCCAGTTGTGGTGGCTCATGCCTATAATCTCAGCACTTTGGGAGGCCAAGACAGGACAGGATGATTGCTTGAGTCCAGGAGTTCGAGACCAGCCTGGGTAATATGGCAAGAAACCATCTCTACAAAAATATAAAAAATAAAACATACGTAGATGTGGTGGTGTGCACCTGTGGTCCCACCTACTAAGGAGGCTGAAATGAGAGGACTGCTTGAGCCCAGGAGGTTGAGACTGCAGTATGCCATGCTTGAGCCACTGCACTCCAGCCTGGGAAACACAGTGAGACCCTGTCTGAAAAATATAAATAAATAAAGTGAAGAGGAAGAGAAAATGTCTTTGGCCTACCTTCACTAGAATTTATAAATTATGGAGCTTCAAAATATGCTCCAGCATACTGGGATTGGGGAGACGTCTGCTATTGTAGTGAAGCTCCCTTGAACAAATCATTTTGCTTGTTTGCATGTTACTTTCTTTAGCTATGAAAGTAGTTAAAGCTTTCCTACAGCTCTGTCATGCTATCCAGGCAATTCAAGCTCCCTTACTGCTCTGTAATCCTGTAGAGAGTTTATTTCACAGGCCATTTTATGTTCACAGATGATATGAACTTTAGGGTACATTCATCCTGTGTCCTGGAAGAAGAACAAAATGCAAATAATTTAAAAGAGGAGCAAGAACATTATATGATTCTGTTTTCTGTTCTCTTTACTTTCGTTCTATATAATCCTCCTTCCTGTCCATTTTGTTTACTACCAAGTCTTCCACTGCTGTTCCTATTTGAAAGTACTGAATATAGATTACAAACTCTAACTTGTCCTCCACACTTGCATTTCCAATTGTCACTTAGACTTGATTAGAATTTAATGTAATTTTTAAAATTCCTTATAACTCACTGCCAGGTAACACCATTACATCTGTACTTTCTTTTATGATACTTAACTAGATTAGAATTGTATTTGATTACACATATTTTTTATGCCTCCTCCTTGCTCATACATTCTTCTTTTTTACTTGCACAATTCTGTCAGTTCAATCTCCAAATTAGAATTCTTCTCATTCCTACTCCTACTGTTGTGGTCACAAGTCTATGTCATAACAGAGTTCATTGTCCTTTTTTCTTGTAAAGACAATTCCTTATGATTTGTTCTACACATTTTATTTATTTTTCTAACATACATATTTGATCATGTTCTACTCCTTTTGAAAGTGATCTGTGACTTTCCATTGCAGAGAAGCTATATATAATAGTTTAGACTTGTCCAGGACTTTACTTCCTGGCCTTGTCATTCATTCTCTCTCTCCCAGACATTCTGTATTTTATTCATATCAGATTATGTACCATTTCTTGAATTCATACTGTTAATTACAATAAAAATAGACCCCATATAACTGTGGCTTAATCAATATAAAGCTGTAATTCTGTGTCACATAGCAACCTAGATATAGATGGTCAAGGGCTTACATGATAGATATTTTATGCTATTATTTAGGAACCCAGATTCTGCCATCTGAAGCACTTTGTCCCTTTCAGCATGATCAATGGTGACTTAGCACCAAGTCCCCAATCCTAGCACCATGAACGAGGAAGTGAAGAAAAAGGTCACTCCCCCTGCCTTTAAAACATATCCTGGAATTTCCATATATCACTTTCTCTCACATGTCATTGGCTACAATTTAGTAACCTGGCCACATCTAGATGCATAAAACGCTAGAATATGTCATCTTTACAAAAATCAAATATATGCCCAGTTTCAATTGCTATCACTTTGGAAAAAAAGGGAAAACTAGATATTGAGGGATAACAGGAGCCCTTGTCACATTCATGATGTTGTTATTGTGATTGTTGGTGGTCTCCTCCTCTTTTTCCTCCTTCATTTCCTCCCCCTCCTCCTCTTTCTTCCTTCTTTTTCTTCCCTTCTTCTCCCTTTCTCTCTTTCTCCTCTACCTCACCTCATTCCTGCTCCTTTTCTTCTTAGCTCCCTCACTTACCATTTTCTCTATTGATTTGGCCTTTCATTTAGCTCTGCCTTATTGTTAAAATTCTTATTCATTGTTGAGGGCAAAGTCAAAATAATACCTTCTAAGACTTTTCAAGATATTACATGTATTAGTCCATTCTCATGCTGCTCTAAAGGCATGCCTGAGACTGGGTATTTATAAAGGGAAGAGGTTTAATGGATTCATAGTTCCATATGGCTGGGGAGGCCTCACAATCGTGGCAAAGGTGAAGGACGAGCAAAGGCACATCTTACATGGCGGCAGGCAATAGAGCTTGTGCAGGGGAACTTCTAAATAAAGTTGACACATAATTTTATATATCAACATTTAACATATATTTTTTAAATCTTTGTATTCAGAATATGAGTATGCTCTAAATCTTATTTATTTTACCTTTGCATTCAAAATGTGGGTATGCACTAAATGTTATTCCTATTTTGGTCTCTATAATATTTGTCTACATTGCCTTGTGTATATTAAAATTTGAAAAGGATATATTTGGCATCTAATATGTTTTGAGTACTATTTTTTAAGTGTTATTTTATCCTATCAGCAAACAACACCAATCAAACAAATTAAAAATAACCAGACTCAGAAATTAAGTAACTTGACTAAACTTATTTAGCTAAGAAATTGCAGAGAAATAATCTAATTCACTGAATGACAAACTTGTCACATAAGCCAGTTTGCTGAAAGACAATATGTGGAAATTAGATTAGCTAAATTATTAAGGATTAAAAAATACTTCCTCCACCTTCGTGATGTTTCTTTTGCTTTGTATTTGTTAGTTCAGCTCAGTTGCTTATTATCTTTGGGTATTTACATTGTTCTGGTGTTTAGTATTTTTTTTGAAAATATGTGTCTTTTCTGTCAAAGCAGTGTATAATATTGTCTCTTTTGCCCTCCTATACCCTACTCTTCCTGCCAGCTTCCTGATTTTGCCTTCAAATCAGTTCCTGCATCAGTCTGTGGAAGACCTAGGATTTTATAGGAGTTCAAAAATTATTTTGTTCTTTCCATTATACCATGCGCTTTACTGGTTATATGCTCAAAAGTTTTGATGAATTGAAACCCCTGCTACCCTCTTGCTGGGAAATATAACGTCCTCTTTATCCATATTAGATAATGGTCCTTTAAGAACTTGTTAATTTTTTAATGACCAAAATTGTCTTTAACTTTTTAATGACCAAAATTGTCTTCTATATTTTGGTCCTATTTTGGTGGCCAGTATAAGTATCAAAATTGCATGATTGAAACTGTTTCATTAGGGAACTTCACTTGTAATCTTCATAAATAAGGAGACTTAATAAGCTTATTATCTAAATTTTCATATGGAAGTTTGGTGAACACACCTAACTTTGCATTTTGGGGAGTCAAGCATTAGGCTACTCTTTATCATCCCTTGATCTCTTTCTGCATCCCTGTCCTTCCCAAATAATGGTAACTTTTTTTTGCTGGATGGGCTCTAACTTCAAACTCAAGTCCATAGAAGTTATTGGGCCAATCTTAATAACGAAAAATCAGGAAGAAGATTGTTACTTTCCACCAAACCAGTTATGAACTCCCAACAAATTGTCCTGGCAATCACCTCTTAGACTTAGAGGGCATCAGGAATGAATTTTGAGTGCCCATATGGCTTCTGAGCTATAGTCTAGCTTTCCTCTAAGCCTTGCCCCCAATTTCAACCCAGTTTACATGCCTAGAATCTATTCTGACCACTATTTAATTGATTACCTTTTGTGTTGCATCCAAACAAATCTCTTGGTATATATTTATCTTTCATTAACAGAGACACAGTGTACTCCTTTTTAGCTCAATTTCCCTCTCTCTCTCTCTCATTAACCCCTAAAGAAAGGGGCAGAATAAGAGCAAAGTACCGAAGTCACCATAAAAACTTCTTAGGGAAACCACTTTGCTTCTATTTTCCATGTATATTAATACCTCCAAAATGATTTATTACTGATCAAAGTTGTATACGGTAGGACAAGAAAAAGCAACACAAAACCGAGTCCCCAGTTACAACCAAGTTATACTTTTATAAAAAGACACAGTGTGTAAACTGTTAATTATTTAGCCCAGAGTAGTTAACACATGCTTACTAAAAATATGACTTTTCTGGTTGACATTTAAATTTGTCAAGGTAAGCTACGAATAGCAGGATTTCTGCAAACTAGGCCACAATCTTACATGGTTATTTCCTTTGAGTGGAGAAGCCGAAAATATATTAAGCTCTTCAATTTAAAGTGGTTGATATTATACCCTTGTTTTTTCCAAGGCATTCTCTTTCCTTCTTTTTTATTCCTGTTTTCTTTTCTCATTCCCTGGTGAATACTCAAAGCAATAAGCAGACACTAATAGATTACTCTGAGATGACTGTTTTATATTTGCCTTCCTGAAATTATAAATATTAATACTGTTTTAAATAAAAATAACTTTTGGTTGTATTCATTTGAAGAGTTTTTTTTTTCTGTAGTGGCTCAGGATTTTAAAAGTGGTTCGAAAACAGTATACCAAAAAATCCACCTAAACATTCTTGTTGCTGTTTAAGGAACGCAGAGCTCATGTATTATAATTCTATTCTATTTTATTGGAATTAATTCAGAAAATATGGTCGACCAGGTGGGATCAAAGGGTTTTGCTACTTCTGAAGATTTTAGCATATAAATGCACCACAACAGATGGTTAAAGGATCGTTTACAGGTGTGACAGCTTCTGTACCCCGTTGCCCTAAATCAATTTAATAGTGTGTTGAGTTGGCTGCCTTGGCAGACATTTAGCTGTTTAAAAAATATCTACACAGTATATAGTCAATGAGAATCTTATTATAATTGCAATGAATTCAATAGTTTTGTCCAATGAGGAGTCAGGAAGATGAAGTTCTCTTCCCCAAGGGAGAGTCAAGATCATAGATGCTGATCTTTCTGGTGGCGATTTACACTCAAAAATCCTTGAATTATTACAATTAACTTTATTTTTCTTTTCTACTATTTCTCTGTCTTTACCTTTCCTCATTTTTGAACTTTACTCTTAGTTATAAAAAATTTAAATATTATCTTTTTTAGTGGTAAAATATATTAATAAAGGAAGATAGAGGAATCTAAATGGTCCCAAATGAAAATATGTGAATAAAGTACCATAAATTCCACAACCACTTCTGCAGATGTATCATGTGTTAAACTTTGAAACTGCATGCAGGTTTATAAGTTCACCACATTGATTGGGTAATGTATTGGCTTTCTATTGCTGCCATAACAAATTACTACAAACCGTGATTTATAACAATACAAATCTATTATTTTACAGTTCTGGAGGTTAGAAGTGTGAAATTAGTCTCAGTGGGCTAAAATTGAGGTGTCAGCAGGGCTGCTTTTCTTCCTGGAGTCTCTAGGGGATAATTCATTTCCTTGCCTTGTCCAACTTCTAGGGGTCACTTGCATGCCTTGGCTCATGGCCTCCTTCCATCTCCAAATCCTGCAATGGAAGGCCTGGTCTTTCTTGCATTGTGTCTCTCTAGTACTCTCCTTCTTTTGAATTCCTCTTTCACTTACAAGAACCCTTACAATTACAGTGGGGCCATCTGATTAACCCAGGATAATTGCCCCATCTCAAACTCAGCTCATTAGTAGCTTTAATTCTAACTGCAATCTTAATTTCATTTGACATATAACCTAGCATATTCACAGGTTTTGGGAATTAGGACATGGGGGACCATTTATTCTACCCACCACAGATGATTGTAACATAATAAAAGAAAAGGAAATAAGAAGATGGAAAAGTAAAAAAGGACAATCAGGAAAGCAGGTTGCTAGTCCCATCTCTGCAGCTAGCTAGCAAGGTGAACTCAGAAGAGCTATTCACTTTCTCTGCCTCACAGTTAATCATTTTAATAAATAAATAATAACAACTAACATTCTCTGGGAGCCTTTAGCCATTTGTTCATAAATACACACACGCTCTCTCTCTCTCACCCACACACACATGTACTATAATCTTATTTAATCCTCAAAATCCTCTACTTCTCAGATAATTAAACTGAGACACAGAGAGTTTTTGCAACATTTCCTGATCAGTCAGCAGTAAATAAAAGAGGCATAATTTAAACCATGAAGTGTTGTCTAAAAGCCCAGCATCTTTTATTATTAGGTTATACTGCCCTTGTTAAGATAGGATATTAATAATGTATCTTTTCATTTATCTATTAATTAGTAATATCTATCAATAAATATTAATTGGGCACCTGCTGTAAACCAGTAACTCTGGTGAGCATTGGAAATGCGATGGTGAACAAGCAAAACATAGTTTCTATCTCTGTGAGTTGAAACACAGACAAGATGGAATATAAACATTTGTTCCTGTAGTCTACTCTTACATAACAAACCAGCCCAAAACTTAATAGCTTAAAACAATTATTTAATTACCTCGCATGAATCTGTAGGTTTACAGGTATCAGCTGGGCAGTTTTGCCATGTGTAAATTCAGCTGGGCTTCAGGTTGCAGGCTGTAAGCTGGAAGCTTGCCATGTGACCTGGGTTTCGAATTGCATGATGACTGCATTCTAAGGAGTGTCCCAGGGATGAACAAATGTTCTAAGACAGAAAACACATGCTGCCAGTCTTTTTAAAGACTAGGCCAGGGGCTTAGGTAAGGTCATTTCTGCTGCATTCTATTGGCTAAGCCTCCTTAGAGTGAGTTCATATGCAAGAGGAGAAGAAATATATTTCAATCTTAATAGAGCTGTGACCAAGAAGCTGTAGCCAACTTTATTCTGCCACAGCCGGAATACGGAAAGCAGATGGGAGACCTTTATGAGATGAAGCTGGGAGAGGAAATCAGTGGCTAAATCTAGCAAGGCCTCATAGCAATTTTAGAATCTAAAATGACAACAATAGAAAGACTTTGGGTAGTTTTAAGCAGCATATTTAAGCATAGTTCAGAAATAATTTATAGATAAGATCACTTTGGAGAAAAGAGTGAAATCCCAGGATAGAAACAATGGTGACTTAGACTAGAAAGGTAGGTAGGGATGAAGGGAAGTCATATGTGAATATTGTTCAGAAGGCATATTTGAGAAGCCATGGTGACTGCTGCATGTAGAAGGTGAGGTAGCAGAAAGCAAGGATCTTCCTTCTGTCTTGATAAGTTAGAGAGTTATTTATTGAATTAATTCTCAATGGAAGAGAGGAAGGAAGGTCTGAAGGGAAAATGGTGAGTTCCGTTTTAGAGCTATTTATTGAACTTAAGAGGCTCATAAAACATCCAATAAAAGTTGTCTAGAAGGCAATCAAATGTATGGTCTGGGATTCAGGAGTAAGATCTGGGTTGGAGATGGAGAACTGCATTGCATAACTGAAACTATGATTGCGGATGAGAGTACCTAAAGTGAAAATGTGGTTTAGAAAGAATAGTATGCTTAGGACAGAATTCTGAGGAAACCAACAGCTGATGGTCAACAGAGTAGGTGAAAATCAAAGGTAACTGAGAAAGAGCATCCAGGAAAGTAGGAAAACAATGCTTAAAGAGTGTGGTGTCGTGGAAGGCAAGAAAAAGCGGTTTCCAGTAGGTTATGAGGATCTCTGTGGAATGCTGCTGAGAGGTCAGTTTGTTAGCTAGAGAAACAAAAGTCCTCGGAGACCTTGGCAGATGAATTTGGTAGAGTGAATTTGGTAGGCCTGTTGCAGTGAGCTAATGAATGATGGAAAGTGAGCAAATGGGGATCAGGTGTGGGCCATGGACTTATCTGGAGATGTTTGGCTGCAGAGAGGAGAGAAGGAGTAGAGAATGAGGTGTTCAGCAAGGTTGTTCTATCTTTTGAGAGACTCGAACAAGAGAAGGAATCAGTTAAAAAATAAAGGAAATGGCCAGTTGCAGTGGCTCATGCCTGTAATCCCAGAACTTTGAAGTTGGCGGATTGCTTGAGGCCAGGAGTTCGAGATGAGTCTGGGCAGCAGAGTGAGACTCTGTCTCTACAAAAATATTTAACAATTAGCTGAGTGTGGTGGTGTGTGCCTGTAGGTTCAGCTACTCGAGTAGGCTCAGCTATTTGAGAGACGTAGGCAGAAGGATCACTTGAGCCCAGGATTTCGAGGTTACAGTGAGCTGTGATTGTGTCACTGCACTCAAACCTGAGCAATTTAAAAAAAGAAAAAAAGGAAGAAAGGAAATTTTGAGAATCTAGGAAAAAAAGGATGCTAGCTTTGTGTTAAAAAAAAATGTTGGGCTGGGCACGGTGGCTCATGCCAGTAATCCCAGCACTTTGGGAGGCTGAGGCAGGCGGATCATGAGGTCAGGAGTTTGAGACCAGCCTGGCCAATATGGTGAAACCTCGTCTCTACTAAATATACAAAAATTAACCAGGCATAGTGGTGCATGCCTGTAGTCCCAGCTACTCAGGAGGCTGAGGTTACAGTGAGCTGAGATCACACCACTGCACTCCAGCCTGGGTGACAGAGTGAGACTCCATCTCAAAAAAAAAAAAAAAAAAAAAAGTTAAAAAACTTTGAATCTTTAATGTGGGAGGGATATGAAAAGCAAAATTGCTAAACACTGTAAGGAGTTTCTGCTAACATTTTTGTTATTAAAGACCTATCATCCTGCTGCTGTTATTGACAATTTTCTAGTTAACATTAAACATTTTGCCTGTATGTTAAAATTTAAAAATATGACCATGTCTGTGACGTGGCATGTATGTGAGTGGTTAGTTTATTGTTGTTGTTTGTTTGTTTTTTCTTGGAACTTTTGAATTAAGAAATGGCATAGTTTATTTGTCCTTGGGAATTTTTTGCACTGTCACTTGTAAGAATAGAGACTATGGAATCAGAAATTTTTAACATTAGGAGCAGTTTTTTTGAATTCTTCTTGACATGGCTGAGTAACAAGTTTCTGGATTTCTTTGAAATTTTAGGACTGAAATTGAAACAATCTCAACTCTTGAATTTTTTATGTAATGCATTTAAAGGAACTCTTTGTATGAAAAGTTGAAGTGTTGAAAGGAGAGATGATCAAAGTTTATAAGGTTTGGAAGATAATAAACAAGAACTTATCCAACAAATTTTATAATGCTATAATTAGAGGACACACACTGAATGACAAGAAAGAGAGATTTAGGGCAATCAAATGAAATGTTCCTTTAAATAGTCGATTTTAAATTTATGAAATATTAACTAAAGAGGTGGGGCATAGAAAAATACAAACAGATCCAAGGGGATTCATAAACGAGACAGGTCTTTAATAGTATTTGAGTTATTCAAGGTTATACTGAATGTTTGGAAAATGACTTCATTTGTTTTCATAAAATTGTCTTACATGACACAGATAACAAGTTACATATGCCCAAGGGAATCTTGGTGTTTCTAGTATGGGACTGGTGCTTTATGTTTTCATGTTCTAGAAGTTAATAGTATCAAATATTATTGAAATAAGTAAGCTCACTGTCTAAATTAGAATATTAGTTCTGTGGCTTACCTAAATGTGTGTCCTTGAGCAAATTATTTAATTTTGTCGTCTCAGTTTTCTTATAGTGAAAAATAATAGTACATACCTCAAAATATTTTAATGAAAAATATGTGTATTAACATACATAAAGAATTTGTCTTTATTGTTGCTGTTATACCAAGATACTGTATTATTAGTTCTGTTGCAATGACATTTTAAATATTTAAAGCAGTTTCAAACTGAGCTGCATACTTGTATATAAATAACTAAGGAAAGGTAGTATACTCCAAAAAATTCCTTTTCTAAAAATATAATTTATTTGTATTGGTTTCTTAATCTAGTAGATCCTACTTATTATTTATTTAATTTAATTTTATTCCATCTGAGTAAATTATTCAACTTTAAATTCAGGGAATGCTTTTTTTCTTAGGATATAAGTTATCTTTTCTTGATGATGATTTATGAAAAAATAGAAAGAATTTAAAAACCAAGAAAGGAAGGAAATTGTCTGGAAGTCACATAAATAGACCTTTTCTCTTTTTGAATTTAGCAAATGGTATGGGCATGGGTTGGAGAGAATTAGAAAAGTAAAAGTGTTCCATGTGAAACCCACCTACCATGTACATGCATAAACACACATGCATACATAGAAATTATGTGTTATGTATACTTACACACACATACAAGTACACACATATAATATAGGCTATAGCTTAGTGCAGATAGTGGTAGTATGGGAGGTTCAATTGGGACAGTTGTTTTTTATACTCTCCTCACCCCTCCTTTAATTAATAACTCTCATGCTATTTGATGCCACATGGAAAAGAAGATGAAAAAAATTGTGGAAGACATGGAAAATCATTTTTAGAACCAAGAAAGGTCAAAATTAGGTGTCCTTCTTGGAGGAAAGAGAAAGATGAAACCCGAAAACACTGGAATGACCTACCTATGGTCTAGGTAGATAGAAATTATCATAGTTGTTAATAAAGTCCTGTGTTTTCTTGCTCCCCAAAACGGTTCTGAGAAATAATCATTTAATTTGAGTGTTAGAGCTTAATAAAACTAAGAAATTGTCTAGTAACATTTGCTCATTTTATAAATTAGTAAACGTACCTCTGAAAGCTTAGGTAGGTAACTTGGCCAAGATCTCAAAGGGAACTAAGAGATGAAGTAATAGCAGAGTTCTAGACTCTTGACTGGCCTGAACTGTTCATCATCATCACCACTGCAGCTTCCTAAGAGGCATGACATGAGCTTTCAACTGATATCTTTTCTTTTCTTAATAGTAGATTATACAAGCCTAGGTGTTTCATCATTTAACAAATATATTATCCTTTAGATGTTAAATCAAGAATTATTTGAAATTTCATTTTTGGAAGACAGTTATGGACTCCTTAACTATTTTGAAATATAAATTTAAATGTGTCTGTTAAATTTTACTTATTTTAAAATGATTTTTATTCGGTATCTACAGCCTTTATCTGTTTAGGTATCTTTTTTACTAAGACAGAGACTGAATGATATACTTTTGAGCTTTCTTTTATGCTCATATATAAGTACCTTGAAAAGTGGGCCCATCAGTCTTTTTATAAATAAACTCGGATTTTTCTATCTTTAATAATTCATAACTGCCTTCTATTAATATCTGACTTTTTCCATTAAAAGTGACTTCTTAAGAGGCTCTATTTAAAGTGATTTTGAGAAGATTCCCTTTGTAAGTATAAACTGTTTTCATAATTAATTCAAATGATGCTCCTCAAATTTGTATAACTTTTAATTTCATATGTGATATTCAGTTTTTTGAATGAGGGTTGGAGCTTTATGTGGCAGAGGAGACTTCAAGTGCTTCCATTCTTCCACTGCCTTGTGCCTTTCCAGAAAGTTGGTGTGTGTTCCGTGTAATGACACCTGGAAGTCCTGGCACTCTAAAAGGCAGTAGGCCATTCACTTCAAGGTATTGGCTCATGCTGAGAGCATACCACCTGGCAGCCTCCACAGCTTGTGCTTTCAGGTTTCCTTTTGGCAGAGAACTCAAAGTGTTCAATTTGTGGTAGAAATTGTTGAATAGTTAAAATGTGTCAGAGGTTGAGTCGTATTTTCCTTGATTATTAAAATAACTTAAATATCACCAAACAAATTATATTTATGAGCAAACAGCTCATTATTTTATTCACATATTTAAGACTTTAAATCTTTTCTGACCACTATTCTAGACCATTTTCTGTGCTCCCAGTTGATGGAAAAGTGAAATATACAGTCTTTAACTCCAACTCATACTCTGGCTGGAAAAAACACACAAGCGAACTGATTGTAAGACTATGACACCTTGTGTGCACCCTTATGGTGAAGGATTACACAAAGTATTACGGCAGTGCTGGGAACATTGGGCCCAGATTGGATGTCAGGAAGACGTTCAGAAGAGAAGCGAAGCATTGAGGTTAATCTTGGAGAGGGAGGAGGAGGCCGTCTGTAGTGTAGTGAGAAGTTGAATGTGTGGGGAATAGAAAGACTCTCAATTCAGTTGCTGGGTTAAAAAAATATTGTACATTATTGGAACTACAATTTGTTTTTTTTTTTGCATTGTACATTTTTAATGAGCTGTTTATTTCTATGAGTTTGTTTAAATCTTTCAATATTAAGCAAAGTTCAGAAAAGGAAATATTTGATTCATTTGGATGATAACTAACCATATTAGAATATAGATTATTACTGGTTCATACTAGTAGCGTATTAAGAGAAGAAAAAACTCATGCACAATTAAAGCACTTTTTCTGTTTTTTTACTCAACAACAATCAACTCGGAAGTCTTCTATGACCCTATATATGTGGGGTTTCCCTACACACCAAGCAAGTAGTAATTTCTGTAGCAGACACCAGGTAGGTGTCCTCCAATTTAATTCTGACACAGTCTACCCTGAGATAGCATCAGATCCCAGTGGTTGAAGGCTCAGTCCCCAAGAATGTTCCCCTCCCTGCTGCTGCCTTCAGATGCTAACCACAAGCCACAGGTTGTTTTAGCTGTGCTTTGGAGGCTATAAATCAGGGTTCCCATGATACTCTTTTTGGGTTTGATTAATTTGCTTAAGCAGGTCACAGAACTCAGGGAAACACTTACATTTACAGGTTTATTATAAAGGATATTACACAAGATAAATATGAAGAGACACATAGGGTGAGGTATGGGAGGCTGCTCCACCCTCCAGAAACCTCCACATATTCCACTATCTAGAAGTTCTCCAAACTCTGTCCTTTTGAATTTTTATGGAGGATTCATCACATTGGCATGATTGGTTAAACCACTGGTCATTGGTGATCGACTTAGTCTTCAGCCTCTCTGCCCTCCCTGGAGGTTGTGGGTGGAGTTAAAAGCAACAACCCTCTACAGGCCTTGTTTTTTCAGGCAATTAGCCTCTGTCCTGAAGCTACCTTGGGTTGCCAGCTATCTGTCAACTCATTTGCCTATAGAAAGACATCACTTTGAAGTTTCTAAGGATTTTTAGGAGTTGTTTGTCAAGAAACAGGGTTGAAGACCAAATGTATATTTCACAGTATCGTACTTTCTGTGCTTTATTCCTGCAAAGAATGCCTTTTAGAACTGGAAAAAAGGACTTTCGGAAAATGTATTTTTTCTACATTTTTCTGCAAAGTAAACACGCATAGATTAAGAAAAATTCAATAAACTCTGATAACATTGTAGATCAACCAGCTGTGAGTTGTTTGTTTTTTAAAATAGCTTTTTGTTATTTTCAATATATTTAGATTATCTTGGATTTCAAAGCAACCCTATGAAGTAGGTAATGTTATTTGCAAATAAGGAATCAGCATGGTAAAGGGAAGGCAAATGACTGACCACAATCAAATAGCAGGACTTCTCGTTTCCAGACTGGTCTGTAAGGACCTTAGAATTTGCCACTCCATTAAACTAAGTAAAAATCTGAACAGACAAAAATCAACACCTTTTCTTGATCTAACACAGATGCGAAGTCACAGGGCAATTTGCCACCCCTAAAACTGGAGAGACACACAGGCAGATACATCAGAGAATCCCAACCAACTGGAGCAGAAACTCCTAAGGAGAAACCTCCACAGGAAGAAGTAGGAAAACCTGGACTGTAATTGAAAAATTGTTGCAGGCTCAGTGTGGATAAATCTTTGAGTTAAAAACTCCAGGGAGACCCAGTCATTGCTCACTCCCTTCATCACTTTAATGTGTTTCACCTTCTAGAGTTCTACCAGATTCTCACAGTGAATATCAGAGAAAAATCCTCTTGTGCTTCTGGCAGGGAGAGGGGAAAATGGCTATTTAAAAATACGCCAGAGCATTCTGTTCATCTTAACCAAAGCCTGCCCTTAAGAGAAACTACTTCACCAAAGCCTGATCTTTTGGGGGTTTCTCAGAGCCCAGCTGACCTAGAGAAGGGGAAATACTCAACACTGGCCTCTGCCAAACATTCTGTCTCATTTAAGATCAGGGAAAATAATGGAAAGGCACATGTGAAGTTCATGGCTAATGGGAACAGGCTCACTAAAAGATGGAGATCTAAGCATAGGGTTATAGAACACTTTCCTTTTCCCCACATCTTACCACCATATCACAGAAAGTCTGTAGTAAACCCATCATATCCAAGGGTTCCACATCCATGGATTCAACCAACTACAGATCAAAAACCTTTTGACAAATAAAAAAGAGAGAAACCAACAATACAACAATAAAAATGATACAAATAAAAATATACTATAAGAAATATTTACATAGCATTTTTATTATATTAGTTATTATAAGTAACCTAGAGATTATTTAAAGTATATAGGAGGATGTGTACAGATTATTTGCAAATGTTACACCATTTTATATAATGCACTAGAGCATCCACATATTTTGGTATCTCCTTGGGGTCCTGGAGTCAACTCCCTGCAGGCACCAATGGAGAACTATATTTACGGTGGTTCCTTTTACCCAGTACATCATGTCCAGAAAAATACGAGGGATACTAAAGGCAGAAAACAGCTGAAACAGACAGAACAAGCATCAGAACCAGAGTCAGATATGGAAAGAATGTTGGAATTATTGGATGATGAATTTAAAACATCAATGATTAATATGCTAAGGGCTTCAATGGCAAAAGTAAACAGTATGCAGTTATAGATGTATAACGTAAGCATAGATAGAAATTCTAAGAAAGAATAAAAAAGAAATACTAGAGGTCAAAAACACTGTAAGAGAAATAAAGAATACCTTGAAAGGCTTGTTAATAGACTGGAATGACTGAGGAAAGAATATCTGAACTTAAGGTTATGTCAACAGACACTTTCAAAACTAAAAAACAGAGAGAAAAAAAGATTGGAAAAGTAAAACAGAATAGCCAAGAACTATGGGACAACTACAAACAGTGTAACATACATACACATAATGGGAATATCACAAGGAAAATAAAGAAAAGAACAGAACTAATAATGACTGAGAATTTCAACAGTTAGTGTCAGACATTAGACTACACATCCAGATATCTCAAAGAACACCACACAAAATAAATGCCATAAAACCCCATACCTATCTACATATTTAAACTGCAGATAATCAGAGATAAGTAAAAGATATGTAAATAAACATACATGGGAAAAATATCTCACCTATAGAAGAGTAAATAAAAGAATTATATCTGACTTACCCTCAGAAACCATGTAAACAAGAGGAGAGTGGAGTAAAATAGTTGAAGTGTTGAGAGAAACAAAACCACTAGTGTAGATTTATGTATTCTGCCAAATTATCATTTAGTAGTGAAGAGGAAATACATATTTTCCCAGACAAACAAAACCTGAGGGAATTTTTTGCCGGTAGACCTACCTTGCAAGAAATGCTAAAGAAGTTCCTCATCAAGAAAGAAAATTATATAGGTCAGATATGCAGATTTACATAAAGAAAGGAATTCCATTGCAGAAGGAATAATGAAGATAAATAAAATATTTTATTTTTTTTCCAATTTGGATACCTTTTATTTCTTTTTTCTTTTTTTTTAATTATTATACTTTAAGTTTTAGGGTACATGTGCACAATGTGCAGGTTTGTTACATATGTATACATGTGCCACGTTGGTGTGCTGCACCCATTAACTTGTCATTTAGCATTAGGTGTATCTCCTAATGCTATCCATCCCCCCTCCCCCCACCCCACAACAGGCCCCGGTGTGTGATGTTCCCCTTCCTGGTTCCATGTGTTCTCATTGTTCAATTCCCACCTATGAGTGAGAACATGCGGTGTTTGGCTTTTTGTCCTTGCGATAGTTTGCTGAGAATGGTGGTTTCCAGCTTCATCCATGTCCCTACAAAGGACATGAACTCATCATTTTTTAAGGCTGCATAGTATTCCACGGTTTATATGTGCCACATTTTCTTAATCCAGTCTATCATTGTTGGACATTTGGGTTGGTTCCAAGTCTTTGCTATTGTGAATAGTGCTGCAATAAACATACGTATGCATGTGTCTTTATAGCAGCATGATTTATAATCCTTTGGGTATATACCCAGTAATGGGATGGCTGGGTCAAATGGTATTTCTAGTTCTAGATCCCTGAGGAATGGCCACATCGACTTCCACAATGGTTGAACTAGTTTACAGTCCCACCAACAGTGTAAAAGTGTTCCTATTTCTCCACATCCTCTCCAGCGCCTGTTGTTTCCTGACTTTTTAATGATTGCCATTCTAACTGGTGTGAGATGGTATCTCATTGTGGTTTTGATTTGCATTTCTCTGATGGCCAGTGATGATGAGCATTTTTTCATGTGTTTTTTGCCTGCATAAATGTCTTCTTTTGAGAAGTGTCTGTTCATATCCTTCGCCCACTTTTTGATGAGTTTGTTTGTTTTTTTCTTGTAAATTTGTTTGAGTTCATTGTAGATTCTGGATATTAGCCCTTTGTCAGATGAGTAGGTTGCAAAAATTTTCTCCCATTCTGTAGGCTGCCTGTTCACCGTGATGGTGGTTTCTTTTGCTGTGCAGAAGCTCTTTAGTTTAATTAGATCCCATTTGTCAATTTTGGCTTTTGTTGCCATTGCTTTTGGTGTTTTAGTCATGAAGTCCTTGCCCATGCCTATGACCTGAATGGTATTGCCTAGGTTTTCTTCTAGAGTTTTTACGGTTTTAGGTCTAACATGTAAGTCTTTAATCCATCTTGAATTAATTTTTGTATAAGGTGTAAGGAAGGGATCCAGTTTCAGCTTTTTACATATGGCTAGTCAGTTTTCCCAGCACCATTTATTACATAGGGAATCCGTTCCCCATTTCTTGTTTTTGTCAGGCTTGTCAAAGATCAGATAGTTGTAGATATGTGGCATTATTTCTGAGGGCTTTGTTCTGTTCCATTCGTCTATATCTCTCTTTTGGTACCAGTACCATGCTGTTTTTGTTACTGTAGCCTTGTAGTATAGTTTGAAGTCAGGTAGCGTGATGCCTCCAGCTTTTTTCTTTTGGCTTAGGATTGACTTGGCGATGTGGGCTCTTTTTTGGTTCCATATGAACTTTAAAGTAGTTTTTTCCTGTGAAGAAAGTCATTGTTAGTTTGATGGGGATGGCATTGAATCTATTAATTACCTTGGGCAGTATGGCCATTTTCACTACATTGATTCTTCCAACCCATGAGCATGGAATGTTCTTCCATTTGTTTGTATCCTCTTTTATTTCATTGAGCAGTGGTTTGTAGTTCTCCTTGAAGAGGTCCTTCACGTCCCTTGTAAATTGGATTCCTAGGTATTTTATTCTCTTTGAAGCAATTGTAAATGGGAGTTCACTCATGATTTGGCTCTCTGTTTGTCTGTTATTGGTGTATAAGAATGCTTGTGATTCCACAATGGAATTAAAGTAAAAACCAATAACAGAAAGATAGCTGGAAAATCCCCAAATAGTTGTATATTAAACAACACACTTCTAAATAATACATGGGTCAAAGAAGAAATCTCAACATAAATTTTAAAATATTTTGAAAATGAAAATGCAACTAATCAAAATTTCTGGATGCAGCAAAAGAAGTGCTTGGAGGGAAATTTATAACATTGAATACACATGTTAGAAAAGAAGAAAAAAGTAAAATCAATACTCCAAATTTCTACTTTAGGAAACTGGATAATGAAGAGCAAATAAAACTGATGTAAGCAGGAGAAAATAATAATAAAAAATGGAGCAGAAAGAAATGAAATTGAAAACAGAAAATCAAGAGTGAGAAAATCAATGAAACCAAAAGGTGTTTTTTTAATTTTTTAAAGATCAGTAATATCAATCAGCTTCTAGACAGGTTAACTGAGAAAAAAAGATAGATGATACAAAATGCTAATATAAAAAATGAAAGAGGCACTACCACTACAGATCTCATGGAGATGAAAAAGATTAAAAATAGAGTCATACAATGAATAACTCTGCATCCACGAATTTGACATACTATATTAAATGGAATTATAATGTAAATTCCAATGTAAATTCCTTGGAAAATACAATTTGCCTAAACTCACAAATAAAGAAATAGACAATTGAATAAACCTATGTCTATTAAAGAAATTAAGTCAATAATTAATAATTTTCTGAAAAAGAAAGCACCAGGCCCAGATAAGTTTACTGGTGAATTCTACCAAATATTTAAGGAAGATATGCCAATTTACAATAGAAGCCAAGGGAGTATTTTTCAGGTCTTTTTATAAGCAACATTACCCTATTACTAAAAGCAAAAAGACATTATACAAACCAGAAAACTACAGATCAATATCTCTCATGAACATAGACACAAAAATAATTAACAAAATATTAGCAAATGAAACCCAATAATGTATAAAAATAATTACACACCACAGCTGTGAGATTTGTTTCAAGTGGCAAGGATAGTTCAGCATTCAAAAATCAATTAATGTAATCTATCACATCAACAAACTAAAAAAGAAAGATCGCATAATCATATCATATGCAGAAAAAGCATTTGACAAAATTCAGCATTCATTCATGATAATGATTATCAGCAAATTCAAGTTAGGAGAAACATCCTCAGTGGATAAAGAATGTCTACAAAACATCTGTAGCTAATGCCATACTTATTGTGAGAAACTAGAAGCTTTATTGCTAAGATCAGGAACAAAGCAAGGATGTTCTCTTTCACCACTTCTTTTCAACATAATAGTGGAATTCTTAGCTAATGTAATAATACAAGAAATGGAAATTAAGTTATACAGATTGGGAAGGAAGAAATAAAACTATCTTTGTTTGCAGATAATTGTCTGTGTAGAAAATCTGTATGACCTGACAAAATAAACTCCTGGAACTAATAAATAATTATGGCAAGGTTGCAGGATTCAAGGTGAATATACAAAAGTCAGTTGCTTTTCTATACAACAACATTGAACCAGAAGAATTTGCAATTAAAAATACAACCCCCCACGAAATGAAATACTAAGGTATGAATATAATAAAATATGTATGCTATATATATATGTATATATGTATATATATATGTATATATGTATATATATGTATATATGTATATATATGTATATATGTATATATATATGTATATATGTATATATATGTATATATATATGTGAGGAAAAGTACAAAGCACTGATAAAAGAAATCAAAGAACTAAATAAATGGGAAGATATTCCATATTCATGGATAGAAAGACTCAATGTTGTCAAGATGTCAGTTCATCCCAACTTGATTTATAGATTCAATGCAACCTCAATCAGAACCTCAGCCAGTTATTGTGTAGGTATTAACAAACTTATTTTAAAGTTTATGTGGAGAGAAAAGAATACCTAGAATTGCCAACACAATATTAAAGAAGATGAACAAAGTCAGAGGACTCATACCAACTGACTTTAAGACTACCTTACTACAAAGTTACAGTAATCAAGACAGAGTGATATTGGTAAAACAGTAGACAAATAGATTATTGGAACAGAATAGAGAGCCCAGCAATAGACTCATATAAGTATAGTCAACTGATTATGACAAAGAAACAAAGACAATACAATGGGCAAAGGTAGTCTTTTTAATACATGGTGCAGGAACAACGGAATATTCAAAAACAAAAAAAGAACCTGTGACACATATCTTATGCCTTTTATACAAATTAACTCAAAAGGGAGCATAGGACTAAATGTAAAGCACAAAACTATAAATTCCTAGACAGTAACATATTAGAAAATCTACATGGTTTTGGGCATGTTGATTACTTTTAGGATAGAACACCAAAGGCACAGTCTATGAAAGAAATACTTACTGAGCTGGATTTCATTAAAATTATCTTCTGCTCTGTGAGATGCAGTCAGGAGAATGAGAGGACAAACCACAGAATTTGAGAAAATATTTTTATAAAAGACATATCTAATAAAGGCTTTTATCTAAAATATGCAAAGAACTCATAAAACTCAACAATAAGGAAATGAATAACCTGAATAAAAAAAAATAGACAAAAGACTTGAACACACATCTCATTGAAGAAGATATACTGAAGATATACTGCAAATAAGCATATAAAAAGACTTTCCACATCATATTTCCACAATAAGATACCACTACATGCTTATTAGGATGTCTAATATCCAGAACACTGACAACACCAAATGCTGGTGAGGATATGATGCAATAGAAACTCCCATTTATTGTTGGTGGTAGTGCAAAATGGTACAGCCAATTTGGAAAACAATTTGGCAGTTTCTTGGATAACTAAACATACTTTTATCATATGATCCAGCAATCATGCTCCTTGGTATTTATCCAAATGATTTGAAAATATGTCCATACAAAAACCTGTACTTGGGTATTTATAGAAGTTTTATTCCTAATTGCCAAAACTTGGAAACAACCAAGATGTCCTTCAGTAGGTGAATGGATACTGTGGTACATCCAGACAATGGAATATTGTTCATCACTAAAAAGAACTATCAAGCCATGAAAAGACATGGAAGAAACTTTATTGTATATTACTAAGTGAACAAAACAATTTGAAAAGGCTACATTCTGTGTGATTCCAATTATGTGACATTCTGGAAAAGGAAAAACTAGGAAGACAGTAGAAAAATCAGTAATTGTCAGAGGCTGAAGGAGGGAAGGATGAATAGGCAAAGTACAGAGAATTTTTGGGGAAGTTGGGTGATATTATGTTTCAATGTAGATTCATTAATTGTAACAAATGTAATACTACTCTGATGTGGGATGTCCACAGTAAAGAACTAATAATATGCATAGTATTATTAGCAATTTCTTGATGAGTGCCTCTATTTTTTCACTATTTATACATAAGATAATTGAAATTTACCCAGGTAGTTAAGGCTAGATTTTTAATCCAATGTTTATTCACCCTAACACCTTTCTTTTATAACATAATTATCAATGTATTTAGGAATAGAATAGTGATATCCCTAGAAGGCATCTGATGCCTTGTATCATCATTTTTATTTTGTTTCTTGTTGGAATAATCTCTTCTATTATTAAAAACATATGACTCGCCTGGGCGTGGTGGCTCACCCCTGTAATCTCAGCACTTTGGGAGGCCAAGGCGGGTGGATCACCTGAGGTCAGGAGTTCAAGACCAGCCTGACCAATATGGTAAAACCCCGTCTCTACTAAAAATACAAAAATCAGCCGGGCATGGTGGTGTGCACCTGTAGTCCCAGATACTGGGGAGGCTGAGACAGAAGAATTGCTTGAACCTGGGAGGCAGAGGTTGCCATAAGCCGAGATCACGCCACTGCACTCCAGCCTGGGTTACAGAGTGAGACTTTGGCTCAAACAAACAAACAAAAACAAGTATGACTCACATAAATAAGTACAATATTTGTCTTGTCATTTGGCTAAAGATACAACCATACTTATAAGTAGCAAAATATTTGGAAGACGAATACCCTTATTAATGAAATGTCAAGGAACTGTGATGCTTGAGAGTTGAAGAGTCACAGGAAAAGTGAGCTTGTTGAAATCCCTTAGAATGAAAATAGAACAAGCAAGTAGAGAGTTAGTGCCCAGTGCAACAATCATCAGGTGGACTTCTGAGTGTCTTGGAAGATCTTAGACTGTAAGTAATAGTGATAGGAAAAAGGTAGTTGTATTAATTATATATTACTGCACATACTCTTTTTTCCTAAAACTTTATGGCTTTAAACAGCTATTTGATTTCTCATGATTGTGTGGTAAGTTGTGAGTTTCTTCAACTAGTGTTTCTTAGGTTCACTTAGGGGTCTGCATTCTGTTAGTGAGTCAGCTGGGAGCTGGGATGGTTGGGTCTCTCTCGTGTGTGCGTGCATGTATACGTGTTTCCCAAGAAGGCTAGACTCGACTTCACAGACAGTCTTAGAACAGTGTTCTAAGAGAGGAAGCCCCAGTGCACAAGTGCTTATCATTCCTCTGCTTGTATTACATTTGCTTATGTCCCATTGCTCAAATTAAGTCACACAGTCGTAACTTGAATCAAGGAGGGAATTACATGCAGGCATAAATAACAGGAGTCATGATTTATTCTGAACTATTTAGTAACAGTCTATTGTGGTCTGTCCTCTGGCCCTGATGATTCAGGTAAAGATACACATATTACACACACTCCATCCCTGCTGCCAACACCCTTAAAATCTCATTCAATTAACAGTCTCAAAGTCCATGATCTCATCATGGACTGCATGCAAAGCTTTATGGGTAAAGCTCCTCCTTATCCAGAGAACTGTGAAATAAAAAATAACAGTTTTTCCATGCTCCCCTGTGTACAATACCCAATGTAAATAGGTGAAAGGCACAGAATAACCTCAACAATTCAATTCAATAATTTAATAACAGAAACAGGAGGCACATAGAATTCACTGGCCCACAGCACTACTGAAATCTGTCCATTGTATGCGCCAGAGTTAGAGAATGTTCATTAATTGGTATTACTAATTACTAACATATCATACTTCCTAGAAGTTTCCCTAATTCATTGCTCTCTGCTCCACTTGGTCCTGTTTTTTGGGTACTCGGATCTGTCATTTCTTTTTAGTAAGAGCTGGTCCATATTTTCAGTGAGTAGCTTTCTCAGCCTGTTTATTTCCCATAAAAAATCATTTTGAACTATTTGTATGCATTTTAGTTCTAGCAGATTTAACTACCCTAAAACTTTTGTAGACTTTTTAATGGTTTTATTTGGGGCTCATTCCATGTTCCCAAAGCCATATCCAAAAGTTTTTCAAGAGAATCTTCTGCTTTCTAAGAAGTTCTCTGTGACAATACCCTTAATATTTTGTAAATATTATTTTGTAATATATTTTGTAAAATATATTTTGTAAAACTCTCTCTTTTTTTTGTCTAATTGTGTGGGTCTCCTTAGGCAAAGCCTCACATCTTCCCAAGGTCTTAACAAAGGGTTCTGTAGAAACAACTTTGATTCAGTCTTTACCCTGAAGCCATTTCTTAACTGTGCCAGGTGGAGATACTGAAAATGTGAAACACTAAATCTTCCAAACCAGCACGTCCTAGCTTTTTTATGTATCCTCTAAATTCTACTTGCAAATTGAACAGGTCTCTCTTTAGCTCATTTCTTTCTTGTACCTTCTCATAAGCATCTAAAAGATACAAACTGACACTTTAGCATGCTGTCTCAAAATGTCCTCAGCCAGATTCACAGGTTCACTAAGTACATTTCCAATCTTCCAGTTTGTTACAGGTGACAGTTATGCCAATGTTTTCACTAACACAACACATGAGCTTCCATTTTTGCTGTGTCCAATAGCAGTTTTCTACTGCCATTTTGGCTTCTGTTAACTGTTTATCTGCCATTCTTCTAAGCTTTACTAATAGTCTCTGTGATGATTTTTTATCCTCTGTCCATTGTGCGGTCCCAAAGTCAGTACCACATGGTTAGAACAGCCAATCACATGGCCGAACCCAGAGCCAATGCAGAAGGCAAGTAGGCAAGAATGTGGGTATTGGGAGGTGTGATTTATTACGGGACATGAGTGGAACAATCTACCATATGACCTATGTCAACAGGTACCCTTTCTATTAAGTAGTAAGAAGTAGGAGTCTTAAAAGAAGATTCTAGAAAAGGAGAGTCTTTAGAAGGAAGACAGTTTTGAGGAATTATAAAGATTGGGCAATAAGAATTTGGGAAAAGTTTAAGAATGAAGAAAATAGTGTGGGGGATTGTTGACATGGATTTCCGAAGACCTGGTAGAAGGATGATATGGGGTTAAGAGGAGTAAGGATGAGGCAGACGGAGACAAAAATAGATTTCAGGAGTTCACACTTTGGATCAAGGAGGGATGAGAAGGAGATAGCTTTATCCTGTGCCAGTTTGGTAGTACTAATTTTGTTTCTGGTAGATTTTGCTTCAGCCAGAAAATATATTGTTAAAGATTTATGAAAATCCCAAACAAAATAATACAATTACCATCCCTCCATATGCCTGTGTAGGAACATCACTCAGGTCTATTTCTGGCAATGTTTACCAATCACTATCGTTGGCCTGAGCCCAGAAAATATGTATGAGCCGACATCCAAAAGAATGCACTGATTTCACAAAAATATAATGAAACAAACTGGGTCACCTACTTTATTCACTGACATAGAGTTTGCCTAGATACATTTAAGATGCTCTTTTTACAACCTCAAATATATGTCAGGGAAATATGGTGGAAAAATCAGTGTTTTAAAACGGATTTTATTTTTGAAATGTGAGGTTTTAGACTATTGAAATATCTACCTCTAGATGATATTTTTTCAAATATAAATGCTTTTCTAAACTTTCCTATTATATTTTTTCATATGTAAAAGCTTTTCCATATATAAAAGCTTTCCAGAATCTCCCTCAAGTTACACTGTAAGAGCCTCTCAAAGAGAATGCTATGTTGATTTAATTTGGCTTCTGTATTATTAATATAGTGACCCCAGTTAGCAAAATAAAGTTTGAGATTGTCGGACTTTGCAGACCAATGCAAAGTCATGTCTGAAAGAGGAGGTGGTATTCTATCTTTCCAGAAGGGGCGTATCTCCTAGCTGAATAATCTGAGGCTGAAAATATTAGATCCATAATGAGTGTGAGGAAGACCCACAAAGGAAATTACCATAATTAATGTGATATTTCTAAGTATTAAATTACTTATAATGTAGGAATTATAAATATAGTAATGCTTACTTAGCTTAATTAAATTAAATAAACCCTTAATGAGCAAAAACAATTTCTTCAGTGCAAAAATTCATCAGAATCACTGGCCTTATATAAACAGTGGATATGTGTATTACATCTTTGTCAGTTTGGATATGGAAATAAACCTTTTAGTGGCTTTAATTCTATTTATCATATTTTAATATTTGCAATTCTGTAATCTAATTTTCCTTTGTGTTTTTCACTTTTAACCTGTGATTTTGAAAGTTGTTAGAAATTAATGTCTTTCCTGAAGTAAATTAAGACACTCACTAGTAATCTTTAGAGAAAATTAGCCAAATCTTCATTGGTAAAATAGAGATAAGATTTATTTTATTACCTTGTGATTATGCTATAAGATGAAAGAGATATTAGATATGATGTCTTTCCCAAAGGTAAAGGTTTAGAGTTGTAATAAATGACTAGTTAATGACCTGCTTTTTGAGATTAATATCCAGGCTAGGATAATGTTAGAGAGGTTTTTAATATTGCAGCATTAATATAGTAAATTCATATTTAGTAGAAAACAGATATCTGAAGAGAAGTAGATCTCAGGTTTCTGTAACACAATAGCACTTTGACATTTATTGTTTCAACTATTTGTAAGTGGCGTGACCCAGAAGAAACTTAATGAGATGCAATTTATAATTCTTCTGAAGCCCAAGTTTGAAATAAGTTGAAGTTGTGTGAGAGGGGGAACTGGGTCAGCTAGTGGACTAATTAAGTAGTCAGCATTTATTTCTTAACACAGCTTGGTTGTTACTTTATTGAGAACTTAAAAAAAAAGCTAATTAGGACACTGCAAGTGGCATTAAACTTTCCATGCTGAGACTTTTGTGGACTTACATTGGATGTGCTGTATTTTCTGTTCTTCATCTCATCCTTAATGACTTTAATCAGGTTTTCATATGCCCTGCTCTCCAAAGCATCCATTATTCATTCAAATCATTTTATTAAATATGTCAGACCTACACACAGTTATACAGCATATTAAAGCAAACATCCTGATAATGCGGCACCCAGTTCAAGACATAAAACATTACCAATACAATTGAGATGTCTTGAGTTCCTTCCACTATTGTATGCCCTCCATGTAACTCATATCTCATATTTGATGTGTATCTTTTCTACAAATTCCACTGTATTCTTACTACTCATATGGTTTACTCTAAAAAGAGTATATAGCTTTTCAAATTTATGCAAGCAGATTGACTATCTTCTGTAACTTGCTTTTCCCTTACTCAAAGATATGTATTTAAAATTCTTCAGCACTTAATATTTATAGTTCTACATCATTATTTTCACTGCCGAATATTATTTCATTATATACTCCAGTGCCTGGTGGTTTGTGGATGGGTGTTTTGGTAGTACAAGCAATGCAGCCATGAATATTCTTTTAAATATCTCCTTGCATACATTTCTAAGTGTTTCAGAGCACAGGCCTGAGAATGAAATTATTGCTGGTGTGTACTTCTTTAAGTCTACAGGATTTTGCCCAGCTGTTCTTCAAAATGGTTTGATGAATTCACATATCTACTGTCAGTATATGACATCTTGTTTTTATATGTTATTAATTCTTGGTATCAGACTTTTCACTTTGCCTATTTGTGGATATGGCAGGGTACCTCAATTGGTCTTAATGAGCATTTCCCTGATTTATAGTGTAGATGAGCATCTTCTAATTTTTCAATTAAGCCTTCTGAGTCCCTTTTAAATGCAATGTCTCATGTCATTCTTAATTTTATATTGGGTTGTCTGTTTTTTACGTACTGATTCATAGTTCTTTAGATAACCACAATTCTAATTCATTTTCACTTATATTGGATACAGATATCTCGATTAATGTTGTGATTTGCCTTTATATTTTCTTTATAGTACCTTTTTATAAAAACTTTTAAAGTAGAGGAATTTATAAATTTTTTATGGTTTCTGCTCCCTGTGTCTTGCTTACACTACCTTTTCCTATATTTAATTTACAATGACATTGACTTATATTTTCCTCCACTTTAAAAAGTTTTTATTTTTAGATTTAGTTTTTAGCCTACCTATAATATTTGTGTGTGTGTGTGTGTGTGTGTGTGTAAGGCTTTTTTCCTTATGGTTAATAAATTTCCTCAAAAGCTTCTAACTGAAGAGTCTATTTCCCTCAACTTTGCTACAATGCTACCTCTATTTCAAACATTTTTTATATGTGGATTGGCTTCTACGCTCTGTGTACTGTACTGGTGTAATAGTTGAAAGTGTCTCTGCTATTCTTGGTCTCTTGCTTTTTTATAAAAGTTCAATTCATTATTTGTTATAGTAATAATTACTAATAACAGTGACTACAATTTATAGATCACTTATTGTTCCAGCTTTGTGTTAATTCATAGGTGAGCATGTCTACATTTATATTTGAGGAGAGTAAAGAGTAGAGGATTAAGTAACTTGGCAAATATACACAACTAGTAGGTGATATAATAATAAGGATTTAAACCTATGTCCAACTGACTCTTGCATGTGTTATTAATTTAATAATACTTCTGAAATTAAAACAAGAATAGCTAAGCTATATTAAACTGTTTCTATGTATCAACCTTTGTAAAAATTATTTTCAAGGATCATTTCCTTTAATCCATGCAGATAATATACCATATAGAATCTATTATGTAGAAACTATCATTATCTCATTTTTACAGATGAAAATAATTATGTAATGTGCCCAAAGTCATACAGCTGTTATTCCCAGTAATACTTGTTTTTTATTGTATATTTTTATGGTGCACAATATGATGTTTGGAAAAAAACAATTTTTCACACATGAAAATGTCTATTCAAATTTTTATTTGAAAATGTCTATCAAATTTTTCTGTGATCTTGGACAAGTTATTTAGGCTCTCTTATTTCCTCATCCATTAGTTCCCAAACTAGTAACAAATTATGACACTTACATGACATTTTTTTTGGAGAGTTAAAAAAGTTAAAACAGTATTATGCCCAAAGTTAGGGCTTAATAAGAGCTAGCTTTTACTATACATTCTTTTAAAGAGGACTTGGCATCTTTATAATATCATCTTTCTATCCATGAAAATAGTAAATCTGTTTATTTATTTGTCTTTCATAATATCTTCCAATAAAGTTTGTAATTTTCTATGTGTAATTTATGTTAGATTTTTATCCTTAGGTGCAACTATTTCTATTCTTTTAGTGGTTGATTTTGGTATTTTAGAAGGCATTTTTATTTCAGGAAACAAATCAATACGATTATAGGTTACAATTTATTTTCTCCTTATTTTGTAGGTATTACTCTACTGTCTTCCAGTTTCCTTTGTGGCAGTCAACACATCTGCTGTCATTATAATTCAAATTCCTTTATAGCTGTTCTTTCTTTTCTATTTGATTACTCTCACATTCATCTGTTTTCCTGGATAAACAGTATCTGAAGTAGCCTTTGTGAAAGTCAATTTATTGAGTTGTGTTTTCTAAAATTTAAAATATTTTTTTGATCAATTCTAGAAAAATTTCAGCCTTCTCTTTAAATTACTGTCTCCTATTCTCTATTCTGTCTGGAAACAACTCCAATCTGTTGTCTGGTGTTGTCTATTTCTTTGCTTGCTTTGATGATTCTGACTAATTCTCAGTAAAACATCTATTTTAATAATTATTTACCAGGATGATCTCATATAACTCCTAAATCAATCCATTGGATTTTTATGTTTAATAGTTAAATTTATTATTTTGGAGATTATTTTTCTTTCAAATTTAACTCTGAATACTTTATAGTTCCTTACTGAATGCTTATATTTTCAATATCTTATTTACTCTTTAAAGACTTAAAATATTTTACATTGTGCATCTGAAATGTAATATTGCTGTTTTTTATTTCTGTTGATCTCTGTCTCATTATTTTGTGTGTGGGAGTGTGTGTGAATGTATTGTTTTTTCTTTCTAAAAAAGTTTTGAGCTTACAGTTGGGTCTCATTAATCTGTTGGAATCCTAGGTGTCCTGGTTGGAGGGTATGTTTTGGTTTAGGGAGCATATGTGTTTATTTGCTTTTGCTTAGTGATTAGAGTTAAATTCAAAATTGCTTTCGATTAATTTCCAGAGTTGAGGTTTTCCACTATGTAAATTGAAACTGAAAAATGGTGGGTTTTGTGGCCTAAGGTTATGAGTTCCAAGAGGTGACTTTTGTTTCCACTCAGAGCAGAGTCGAGTAAGAGATTTTTTTTTTTATTTCATCCCCTTGCCAGCCGACCACCTTTTCACAATTCTGTCCTATGTTCTCATACTAGGGAGTATCCAAAGTCTTTCTCTTTTCTCCGATGAGCCATTAAAATTCAAGATTCTAGGTAAAACTGAAAATTAATTGTCATGAAGACAGTCTTCAATGTCCTGCCTAACATTTCTGTTTTCCGTGTATTATCTTGGGTGTTTTTCTTGTGATCTGAGTCTTGCATATATATTACATTAAGGAAAAAAGGAGAGTTTTGGAGATATTGAGCCAGTCAGATTGCTCACAAAGAAAGTGAACCTAGTGTGCTGTAAAAATACTGAAAAGAATCCTAATAAAGTATTATACATTTTTAGGACCCCTGTTTGGAAATACTAAAAAACAAATATTTTCAGATGTCTCAAAGTATAATTTTTTTTTAATTTTAGTATAAGCAGAATCACAAATTCTTGTACTAATAAACTTGAATGTTGTTGAATGGTGCAAGGAGTCACCAATAATTGAATCTCTAAATTGAAATGAATCTTTGACGTCACCTGGTCTCAGCAGCAAAGCACCAATATCAAGAAAACGACAGCCAAAACCAAAACCAGTTTACATTTTTTAGGTACTAACCCTGTATCAGATACTCTACTTCCTCCATTATTTTTTCTCTTTTAATCTAATTCTGTCTTTAACTTTATTTTTTTAGGCCTCGGGTTACTCGATCTCCATTGGAACATCGCTGTGGCAGTGTGCCACAGCATTTTATAACTAAAGCCACTGAGTCCTAAAAATGTTAAGCTAATTATCTAAGGCTATAGTGGATAGCATATGGCCCACCTCCAATCCTGGACTTTATTTATTTATTTATTTACCACAACACATATTTCCTTTATGAGTATCAAAATTATCTTGTGTATACTTTATATAATCTCTTTCAAAATTCAGGGAAGTTGGGCTATTTAAAAAGAACTACAGAAGATTTAGCCATTAGAAACAGACAAATATCCTCTGTAGTTTGTATTCAGATAGGTGGTTATGTCTACCAATGATAATGTTGAGGTTAGGGACATTTTGGTGTATTTCTATATTCAGTAGTTTTGCATAAGGTCTTATGTTTCTTTATGCTGTATAATTTCTGGATGTTTTGAGGAAATAAATATTTTAAAATTTTGATTATATATTTGGGGTATGTTATAGTGATAACTGGAAGAAACATTGAGCGGAAACAGAAGTAAAATTGAGCCTTGCTTATTTTGGGGTGAAATATTTAAAAAATCATTTGTTCCCTTTTAACAATGTATTTGTTTTTAGCGTTAACCTTCCTCTGCAGCTTCATTGCTGACCTGGGTAAGAAGTGGCAGAAAGTACATTGGAGCTCTGCTGTGACCAATGCTGAGAAGGCAGCAAAGATTTGATTTGCAATCAAACTGGTTTGGTTTTAAGTGTTAGAAAAAAATGTTGTGAAGGGAAAATGTCTACCTGAACAGGGGCTCTTTTTAAAAAAACTAATTTCAATATGTCCCTTAAAATTTTCCAGAATAATGTGGACATAAACACATAAGGACTTATATAATTAAAAAATGTTTTTTGTTTAGTACCTGAGCATTGCTGGAAGTAATGAAAGTAAACATGAGTGCATCAGTGCCCCCAAATGTTACATTTATGAAATTTAAAAAACATGTTACAATTGTCTAGAGTATCAAAATCATAAGACTTTGCGAATACTTGATGTAAATACATTGATTACATTAGGCAGGTTCTTGCTGTGTCCCATTTTATTTTGTAGAGGTTGTAGAAATACAGATGAGAAGATAATGTACAGGTAAAATTCAAGATTCTTAAGAAGTCCTGGTTGTGTCATGAAAGGCATATATCAATACTTATCTTCATTTAACTTGTTACTTCGAATTGTTTTCTTGTGACTTGTGACAGGAAAAGGTATAGCAAAGATTAAATTTACAAATTATAAATATCAATTAATAAAGTTTCTTGATGGATTATTTGTCTTATTTGGATGCATATCATACAGTAGCATGCAAGCACACAGACACACATACACAAACACTCTACAAGTTTATATATTAAAAATAAAAGAAAAGAATTTTAAATAAAAAGCTAGAGAGATTATTTTTCCCTAATGTCTTTTTGACTTAGAAAATCTATCACTACTCTGGAATTTATTTTTATTGTCTATTGAAATGTATTTTCAGGTTTTCTTGTGACGTTTTCTAGCTGCTTCTAGACTGCCTGGGTTCAAATTTCAGCCCTACTGTCACTATCTGTGTTAACTTGGGAAACTTACCTGTCTGTATATTGGTTATTGGGAGCATTAAATGACTTTATAGATGTAAGACCTTACATAGTACCTGGCACATAATTTTATATGTAAGTCTTAGTTATTACTTAAAAGAATAATGGTTATAGAAATCAGTCATACTGTCCTTTTTCCCAAAGCATTTTTAAAAATTTCATTCAATTAAGTGGTAGATTTTGGTCATGCAATTATACAGCAATAATACATAATACATCATACTAACTTACTTTAGGGGAAATATTATTTTATGAAAGTACTATAAAATTTTGCAAACAATTTGGCAAAATCCTATCAAATCAGTATATGGTTACATTTGGTCCAATGCTGTTTAATATGTTTTGAGAGCATGAGATGTGCTGAGTAAAAGAAAGGTATACTTACACATACACAAATATAACTTTCTCTCTTCCTCATTAATATTCATGTTGCCTTGGACATTCTACAAGATTCGTATTCAAAAACTCCATTCTTGTCTGGTTACATCACTGCTTTTTTTTTTTTTTTAATCCAGATTACCCTAGAAGGAACTAGTTCATGGAATAGAATAGCAATTTCATTCATATATAGATCCAGCAGGCATATTTTAGTTTTCCTAACTTCGATGCTGACTTACTTTATATTATTCACATTGATAAAAGATCCATTGTCATCCTTATTGAAGTATGACATATGCCTTAACTTTGTTCTTAAAAGTTTGAAATCAGAACATATGCTTTGATTCATTGATAAAGTGTTTTAGAAGCTCTGGTTCTCCCCAGCTTGTTTTTTTTATGATATCATCTCTTAAGGACTTGGCAACTATCTAGTGGCTCTGAAAAAGCCAGACAACCAACCTGGGTAGTTCACAATTCAGTATTGATTTTTGCTCCTGCTTTATTTTCACCAGTCGCATTTAATTTAGACACCTTAAAATGGACAAATCTGCAATATACTCTGTGATTTATATACAGAAGTGCATATGTTCTCCAGAACAAGACGTTCATTCATTTAGATATCTTCGAAATGATGGCTTTAACTGAATTCATATGTGCCTATTTTCCGTGATCACATGCAGTTGAAATAACTTACGGTGAAGCACATTATTAATATTTTCCCTTGAAATTAGCTATCATCTGCTCATTCCAATTTTCTCCATGTTTTTCTGTCACAGAAATTAAATAGCTATTAGAATTCTAATTTCCAGGGAGCTTCACGCTCTTTCCCGAATGCCTCCTTTTCAGCTGTTCATTTGTTGCCCACTTCCTTTCTCCCTCTCAATGGTTTAGCTCCATCTTCTGGCCTTTACTAATGAATAATGGTTGCTTTGCTATTTTTTTATTTGCCTTGTTGCAGCTATGGTGGTATATTCAGAATTGGCTATGAATAATTATAGAAAAAATAGACAATAACTAAATATTGATGTTATGTAACTTGCAATATATTTTCTCCTATTTTTTTTAATTGGCTGAGGACCACAGAGTAAAACAGAGAATTTGAGGAATTATTCACATAACCTATGGGCTTTTTAAAAGTCCATCTATTGAAAAGGAAGAATTATGAGCTGCATAAAAGAGTTTAATTATATACATTGATCAAATGCATCAGATAATTATTGAAATTCTCAATTTTCATTGCACAGATAACATATTAATTGCATAGATCCCATATTAATGGTATACTTTGTAGTTTATCATTTTTATTAGAAGTACAGTAGAAATACAAAGCTAAGGAGAAATAATTTCACAAAGTAGAAAGTTCCAAAAGTGAGTAGAGTAAAATTCTTACAAAAATCATTGCTTTCTCACCTAGAAGAATCCAAAAGAATCAACCCAAAAGCTCATAGAACTGATAAGAGGGTTCAGTAAGATCACTAGATATAAAATTATGACTTGAAAGCCAATGGTACTATCAATATCTAAAATAGAAAATATAAAGAAAAATCATCTGACAGTAATATAAGAAAGATATAAAATATCTAGGGATAAATCTAATAAAATGTTTGAAAGGTATGAATAAATGTGTGAAACTACTGAGAATCATAAAACAGTTCTTAGTCAATAGTGATTGGCTATAATGTGGTAAATATTAATCTCTGCCAATTAGTTTGTATTTCTATCTCATCCTAAGCAAAATGCTAAAGAAAAAAATGCAAAACAATAGGTACAAAAATTTTGCAAAAGGACACTGACAGCAATAGTTATTTCCAAAAAAGTGTAGTAATTAAAACACTTGCTTTCATCTTCAGAAATAGGCATAGGGACATATAGCAACGTAGCATAAGATAAATGTGACATTTAAAACCAAGGAAATCAATAAAATTACATTAAAAGCATTGGGAAATTGAACATCTATGTGGAAACAAAATAAGTTAGGTTTTTACTATTCATAATATCCAGATATTAATATTAGAAGAATTTAATGTAAAAGGGATAGTTAAAAATCAAACATCCCAGAATAGTTTGAAAATCTTAGAATGGGAAATCCTTGTTACACAAGACATAAAATTTAGGAATCATCAAATGAAGGATCGAGAATTTGGTTACAAATGTCATCATAAACACGGAAAAAGGTAAGAGAAAAAGGAAGAAAAATAGGGGCTTTACATATGAAGAAGATTAAAGTACGTTAGAAATCAAAACTTAAAGGGTAATCTAATAGTAAAAAGAAGTGTACAAAATCTAGGAATAGATGATTAATAGAGGAAACTATAAAAATAGATGCACTTTCTTACTAATGATGATGGGAATCCAATTTTCCTGTTTATCAGTGAGGTGGCTGATGAAACCAGCTCTGGAGTCAGGCTGCCTGGGTTGACACCCACTCACCCATTTCTAGAGATGATAGCTGAGAAAATTACTTAACTTGCTTCCAAGTTTTTTAATGTCTAAAATATGGATAATATTAGGACCCATGTGGCTTTACAGTATAACAAATTTTAAGTTAATACATAAAATATACTAAGAGCAATGCGTACTGTCAAGAGTACAAAAACGTAAGTTGCCATTATTAAAACAAAAATGAAATGTCATTTTTACCTGTGATTAGTAAAAACTGAAACAATGAAAAATATCAATTATTAGTGAATTACACACAAAAAGTTATTTTATTGATAGCAATGTTAATTGCTACACTATATTTGGGTGATAATTTGATAGCATGGATAACCTTTCACCCAGCATAAGATTTGACCAACCAATCCTACTTTTAATAATCTGTTCTGCAGAAATAATAGCACATGTGCTCCAAGATGTATGTATTCACATGTTCACTGCAGCCTTGTTTGTAATCACAAAACTCTGAACAATCTAAATATCTTTCAATTAGGGAATGTTAATAAAATGTTGCTGCTATCTTCAAACTAGGGAATATCATACAATGGTTTAAAAGAGTGGACTAAGTCTGTATCAACATGGTAATTTCCCTGCCAGATATCAAAGTAAGCCACAAGATAATTGTTCTGTGGTGTCCTTAATCAAAAACATAACAAAACCAGAAACGCACAAACAAATTCGACTCTTACTAGAACTATGGGGCTAGAGGTACATCCCACATTATTGTTAACAAGGGTTGCTTCTGGGAAGAATAGTAAGCAAAGGGAATTTACATCCTTTTAATCAGTATGCTTGTTTAAATTTGTGCTATAATATACTCCTGCTATTTTTGAATTACAGACATTTAATTTAGAGTATTCAAATAAATGTAAGGGCCAAAAACAAAATAAGCTACAAATCCTTTCTGGAAGGAATTTGTTTCACACCATCAGTTGTAACTAGGCGTTACAATGGAATAGGGCGACAGTCAGGGCAATGTTAGAGCAATGTGCCATGATCCCTTAACAAGCATGAAGTCATAATTTTACCAGGACTCAATGCATCAAGGGTGTGTGAGTCCATTATGCTAAAGATAATCCCTCCAATTCCTTGGCAATTTAGAGATGAATGCTAATGGCCCAGAGCATTTAGCATATTTATATGATTTTGCATTATACTATATTGAAAAAAATGTGTCCTTTGAAAATAAATGTATGTGGGTTAACACATAAGTACTATGGCACATGCGCAGGAACCCGCTTGCTTACCAACAAGTAAGAAGAGCAAGAAAGTTCTGTGAAACCTTCAGAACCTCTTTGAGTCATTCAAAAGCAAAAGTGTTATACAAGCTAATTTGAGGGTATCCAGACAGTAAGGTGATAAAGTTCTGTCTTTTTTTTTTTTGTATTTTATTTAAAGGATAAATTTTAAGTAGAAATCTTATAGTCATTTGAACATTTTTCAGTTATTTTGTTTAAAAGTAGGTTTTATCATAGACTCTAAAATGATTATTTGGACTGAGATGTCATTGAATCTATGTTTAACACATACATAATCCCTCGGTCTTGTACATTCTAATTAAGATCAGACAAGAGATTGCAGGTTTTTTAGGCATTAAGACCAATGGTGGCTATAAACATGAAGAAGAGAAAAAAAAAGAGAGAGAGAGAAAACAGAGCAAGAGGAAAGAAGAAATATAAAACAAAGAGGAAGAAATGTAAAACAAAGAGGAAGAAATATAAAGAAAGAAAAAGTAATAAAACAGAGAATGATATTATTTAATCCTTGAAATTTATTGTATCTCACATACATTTTCCATGAGAAAGTATGTGATGAATAATATATATGCACTACCTGACATTTTCTAGAATTTCTCTCTTTGATGTTCAGCCACACAGGCCCAAGTATGAGCTTTGAGGGCATGGAGACATTTGAAAGCTGAGACTTGCCAGCAGCACACAGCTGGCTGGTGTCACAGCAAGGATTAGACGCCAGGCCTGCAGACATTCATTCAGCCTGGCACTCTTTATCCACAATATTCAAATTTCATCAGGGCATAGAGTGCCCAGAACTCACATAGAGCATGAGTTGAGCAAGAGTTCACAGAGGATAGAACTATATGAATTTATAAGGAGAAAATACGTATCCCAAAGATAAAGAATGAGACTATCACTTGTGAAATAGCGCCTGATACAGACAGAGGTAATTCTCTTTCGTTTATGTATCCAGAACCCATCATTAAAATTCACATGAGAATTATTGCCTATTACTGCTGGTTCTACAATTGCCTGCTATCCCAGATAATGAATGAAGCCAGAATAAATGTTATAGATTTTTTAAAGCTGCATATAATATGGGCAACAGCAATAAACTTTCGCCATTTTACCTCACTCAGCAAACATAACATGAAGGTCAGGAGGGGTAAATATTTGTTAGAGAGAAAGAAAAATGTATTATTACAGCCTCATTGTCTTCTACTGCTGAGTGATGATGTTGCATCAATCTAGTATTTCTGTGAAACATTAGATCAAAACGTATGCAAAAGAGAAGTAATTTATCATCATAAATATTTGTGGCAGAGCTATAGGGAAAATCATCATTGAGGCAATTTATGGAAAATGTCATTGGGGTGTATGTTTATTATTCTTTGCATTTCCTCTGAATCACTTGGTGTTTCATTCAGTAGCTATATATTGAGTGTCTGTGCTAGGAACTTTGCTGGGCTCTGGGGAACAGGAGTGAACAAAGTAAAGGGTAGACTTTTAAAGAAATGAGAGTTTTTTGAGAGATGCTACACTGCCAGGTCCAGAATGGGAAATCCTTTCTGTCCATAGATAGGAAAAGAATTTGCCCCAGTGGAAAAGTGAACTTTAAAATAACCCCATTAATGCAAAGTAGATGGTTTAACTTCATTTCATCATAAGAAGAGAACATTGTATTTACCTACATTTTGTGAGAGTAAAGAAATCACAGGTCTATTTTTATGATTCCCCCCAATTTTTACCTGGAAACCTAACATTACATGCACTATCTGTTACAATAATTGTATTTTTAGGGGAATAAATGTCACTTACGACAAACTTTAAAACTTTAACAATTTATTTCAATTATGTAAATAAGACATTTGAAATTGTGGGAATTTTTCTCTATATTTTCATGTGCAAAATTTGTTATTGGGCATATATTCCATGCAAAGAAATTCAATGTATGTTCCAGGCAAAAAAATTTACCTCATTTCATTTAGGTTTTCAATTGCAGCTTGCGCTGTGTACTTTTTCAGGTTGGTAATGTCCCCTTTCTTGGTACAAACTTCTCCACTTACAAAATGTATATGGAAATCTTAAAATAATAAAATTTCACAAATATTCTAAATATTATATTTTCATACTAAAAATGATTGCGCTTTTTTCCTATTAGGAGAATGAATTAACTACATTTCATAGGTAATTTTAAACTAACAGCTGTAATTTTGCAAAATGATAACAAAGGATAAAAATATTGTTTTGACATGATTTCAGAAATACCCCACTATCAACGGAAATGAAATTTTCTCATAAGAACCCGTTTTATGTCTTTGCTAGACCATTGGTTCTGATTGTATGTTCATTTGACAAATATTTAATGATTATATAATTGTGAAAACTTCTGATTTGGATATTGCAGAGAATACAAAAATTATTGTGGTTTATTTATTGTCAATAACACATTTACCTAATAATTTATAATTTTTTCCAGTACATCTCTATATATTATCTAATTTAAACTTAAAAGAATTCTCATGAGATAGACAGGAGAGGAATTAATAGCCCCATTCAATAGATTAGGAAGCATGCTTAAGATCAGAGACTCTTCTACCAGGTGCCCAGGGAAACATAGAGCTGGGCTTCCGATTCGGGCAACTGGGGAGTGTGCTGATGGAGTTCATAATTAGGGAGGATCATATTCAGTTGATGGCAAGCAAGGAACCCTTCCTGGAAGAATTGGTAGTTATTAAATGACATTTATCAGTTGCCTGCTGTGTGCCAAGTACTTGACAGGCATTCATAGGTAAATGGCACTTCATTCTCTCCTTTCAATTAGCTCACAGTTTATGGGCAAACTAGACAAATATAAAACAGGCTAATACACAGAAAGGCAGATTGCTTTAGAATCACATGCAGGAGCAGCTTGTAATTCAGACCACACAGAGCAGGTAACACCTGAGCAAATGCTATACGTGCTCTTCTCTAAGCAATTGCAAGAAATTGATGGATTTTAAGCAGGAGGGTTATATCTGCCATGAGAGGAAAAAGATTTATTATGAAGGAGGCTTTTTGAGAGGTTATTTCAGCCATCTAGTCAATAGATGTTTAAGGACCATATTAAGGCAATGTCATGAGAGCTGGAGAGCACAGATAGAGAGGTCTAATGGGCAATATTTGGTGACAATTCATATGCTGAGAATAAAGGAAGAGAAGTCAAGAGTGATTCTAACATTTTTTGGCCTGAAGAGATGGGCTTATTTCAACACATAAGCACTTGTCTTGTGGAATTGATGAATTTTAGACTAAAGGAAAATATGAGCAAAATCCTGGTGCATGATTAATAAATAGTTAATATCAACATTAATTAGAACATTAAGATGTAGGAAAGTCATGAGAGACTCATAGGGCCAACACTCTTTTCAGCTTATGTTTACTTTAATACTTCCCTGTCCCACAATGAGGCAGGTAGGTAATATTTTTATCGTTTTTTACACATGACTAAGCTCAGACAGACTAGTAGAGTAACTTGCCCAATAAATCCAGATAGAAAATGGCAAAGCCAGGATTCAAACCCAGTTTGTTCTCACTTTTAGCCCCTAGAGCTGCTGTTTCTGAGGTCAGAGCCGCCCAAGATTCTTGAAAACAGAATAATAATCTCTCTGTGATATTTAATTGTTTAGATTAAAGTAATATGTGTTTAGATATTGTAAAACAGTGGCATTTTATGTATTTCTTTTTTCTTTTTTTATTCTAGAAAGCTCACACATGAGTTCATGAAAGAATTGAATATTTTTAATTAAAAATTATACCAACAGGGAAATAAATACAAAATAATCATGAAAATACATTATTGAAAAATTAATATATATTTACAGTATATATTTTTATCAGTAAATAAAGGATGACAGCTAGGGTGATGATGAAAGTTTGGAAAATATTTGCATAAGGAGTTGAATTTGACCTTGTTAATAGGGATGAGACCGCTAAAAGATAGATTTTGAAGAAAAAGAAAAAAAATTGGAAGACAGATCCTTGACTGATGCCTTTATGTGATGTGCTTTAGGAAGACTAATATGACAAGAGTGTAAATTGAAGGAAGGAGAGAGAAGAGGTGGGTCACATGGCAGAACCAAGGAGAAAGAAAAGGAAAGTGAAGGTGCAAGAGATGCTTAAGAAGTACTGTTATGGAAACTTCATATAAGTGGGGAACTTACCTGTTGTGCTTAATACTGTCTTCCCCAAACCTAGAACAGTGCATAGTAGGTTCTTAAAAGTGCTTTGTAAATGTGCAATGAAAGAAGTAGAATAAAATTTAAATGGTGATGGATGACATGCATAGGACAAGAAAGGGCAAGAAGGTCATTATTCTGAACTATTGCATATAAATGATGGCAATAGTTATCATGCATGAGCAGGAAGGGAAAAATAAACACATAGATATGGTTCATCAGAATAAAATAAAACATTTTTTCATTATTTTTATGGAATTAGTTGGAAATATATGGTTTTAGAAGTTTCCATATAATGAACTGAGGGACACTGGAAGGTGACAGATTGAAGCTAAGCTTTTTTTTTTTTTTTTTTTTTTTTTTTGAGAGAGAACTATTCTCTAGATTTGAACGTTATATTTTATCAAAAATGACTCAGTGTGGAACACCAAAACATAGTAGATAAAATTCCGTTTTTTTCCTGAATCAGCTCACAATACTCATCCTCTTTGTTGTGCATTTTCTAAACCTAACACTATGCTTGTCACATAGAATATTTACAGTGCATTTTTTGGTAAATAAATAGTTTTAGGAGATAACTGGGATAATAGTGAAGGCTTGGGAAATATGTGCATAAAAATTGAATTTGACCTTGTGGAAAGGGGTGAGACCACTAAGAGGCAGAGTGAAAGAAGATAAGAGAAAACAATTGGAAGACAAATCCTTGGAGAAGGTCTTTTTAATTTAGGATGTAGGAAGAAGATAAGGCAGTGAAAGATAATTAGAGCGACAGGAAAAGTACCAAGATGGTATAATTTTACTTGGCAGCTATGTGGAAAAGAATTAGAAGAGAGCAAGACTAGTAGCAGCGGAAAGGGAAAGAATTTTAAGAGGCAAATTTTGGTCTAATAAATTCAGAGAAGCTAAGAAAGCTAGATCCAAAGAAGAGATGATTATTTTTAGTTACCAGGAGATCCTTACTAACAGATGATAGGGAAATTTCAGTACTGAAATCAGGGGCAAACTATGCATGGGGTTAATGTCACAAGTTTAGGAGAGAAGGAGAGAGGCTTTCAGTGGTTTCCATATTTTGATGTCAGAATTCCTTGGTGATGCAGCTTTTACCAGTTTTTGTTCAAACTGCAAAGAGGTTGTTGCCATTTCTGCTTATGAAGCAGACTATGCTGATTCATTGAAGTGAATCTCAACTTATAAATCTAAAATATGTAAAACAAAAAAAACATACTCAGTTCTTCTCCCTTTCTACTCAATAACTATGCGAGGCTATTTAGATTTTGTTCAGCATACAGACTGTATCATGTATGCTACATTAGCAGCACCAATGAGCAGAGTGACCTAAGAGAAAAAGATGTGTTGGATGCACCATCAGCATTGTTGTTGGCTTATATCATCTGGGCTTGTAATAAAAAGTGAAATAATCAGCAAATTACTTATACCCAGGAGATTATCATTTCTGCTGTTTGACATAAAGTGTCTTTTAGAAGGACTTGCCCTTTGCTGAGTTTCTCAAAGTTGATATTAAATATTTAATTACAGAACTCAGTGAGAGCATCTTTACTTACTCCTTTGCAATCTGGTTTGAATCTCAAAACATAAATGCAATTCTAATATTAATCAGGACTATCATTGAGAAACTTATAATAGTGTCTCACAGTGTTATTGTGAAGGTCATGAAGCTGGAGGTGAAAATGAGGATTCATGTTTCTTTCTTTGCCTCCAGATGTGACTATATAGGGTGTTGGTATTGTATAACTCATTTTAGAAAGTTGTCTTTGGATTGATTTTCAGAGTTTATGACACGTTATTTCTGATAGTCTCGGTGGTAGTAAACCTTCCTTCATTACAGGATGGATCAAAGTTAAGGAAATGGCTTTAAATTTTGGAGGCATCATTGGGGAATAAGGTAAAGATGAAAATGAATAATTTCCCTTCTAATGAAGTAAAGAGTAATTCCAAAGTACTGCAGCTAATATTCTTGTGAAAGGTGTCAGTAGGTTATGCTGCCTATGCTAAATTGGGGCAAGCATCAATATTTAAATACGAACAGTCTTGGATATTTGGGGATAACATGTTAGAAGCATAGTGCTAAGTTTTTCATCTTCAGATGGTTACCACAAACGGGGCAAGCAAAGTACCTTAGTTTAGGTAAGCATTCTGATGGATTTGATTGATTCCTGGCTGTAAATCTCAGTGGCATTCTTATCCTGCTTGGGGACAGAGACAGTGACTGTCCTAAGGTACAGAGAGGGAAATGAGCACTGTTGGCCGAATGGCTGTTAACTGTATGCATAGTCAGGGGACATAAGAAAGAAATATCCAGAAAAATAGAGGATATATGCAAATGGACACTTGAGTAAGTGCAATGAAGAAATAAAGGATAAGAAGAGAGGGTTGAGGGAGACCAAAGAGAGTCAGGAGAGAAGAGCTATTGTTGTAAAAATAGGTTCACTGGAGAATTAGCTGAAGTGCATGGGGAAAAATAAATTGTCTTCTGAGTTAGGTGGATCATTCCTTATGAAGTTGTGTGCAGCTTGTGCCTGTTGTTGGGTCAAAGCCAGTGTTTCCAGATGGCCGCAATAACCAGGAGGTCCCTTGACAACTCACTCCAGGGCCTAAAACAAATCGAAAATGAAAGGTATGGCTCCTTATTAAGCTTGTCTGTGTATTCAAACAGTGGCATTCTTTATCAGGCATCCTGCTGATGCTGTGGCTGCTGTTTTCATCACAGAAGCTATTTCACTTAAGATGAGAAGAGGTCTCATTAATAAATCATATTGCATGATATTCCTATAGTACCTAGATGACATGCCCACACTTTGCAGGGAAATGGAATTAAATAGACCCAGAGAGAATTTTATAGCAAGTCTTTCTTTTATGTGTCATTTGGAATCATCAATTGCTGAACAAATTTAAGATTTAAGATATACCTGTCAGTACACATACACTTATGTATAAAATAAGAAATCACTGCAGAGTTTTCCTAGGTGAGATGAAAGCTATTTTTCATGTATGTGAAGAAAGGACATAGTTATCAAATACACTAAAGGTTATTTTCAACTCTGTACCCAGACAAGAACAAAAAGTATGGGCATGAATAAAAGACAGTTATTTCATCTTTGCCTTATGTTAAGGTGTGAAATAAATGTAATGAAATGCATTCAGTTGCTTTTTGAGATATTTCAGTCTGCTTTGTAGAAGATTGGTAATAAAGGATGTGTAAATTTACATATTACACAGGTTTTCGGCAAATAAGGGCCACTTAAAGAGGCAATCTTGCTTTCCTTTGGATTCATACCGTACAACAGTTACTAAACAGTATTGCCTAATATTTTTTGATTGTCTAGAATTGGCAATTAGAATCTGTACATATTTTAGCAATGCTCGTATTCATGAAACAAATCTATTTTTTCTACAGACCATCTATTTTTGTGAAGTAAATACAATGATATAAGATAGGGTTTGTTTTATCCTTCAAAAAGGATTATTTTAAAAGGATGGTAGATGTTATGTTCTAGGTTGTTAGATTGTGTTTCTGGATGACTGGTTTCCAGTTTTTGGATTGAAATGACCCCGAGATTGAGAAATATCAGCTATTTATCTATTTAAAGCCACATATTTGGCCAGGCATGGTGGCTCATGCCTGTAATCCTAGCACTTTGGGAGGCCGAGGCTGGTGGATCACGAGGTCAGGAGTTTGGGACCAGCCTGACCAACAAGGTGAAACCCCGTCTCTACTAAAAATATGAAAGTTATCTGGGCATGGTGGCACATGCCTGTAATCCCAGCTACTCGAGAGGCTGAGGCAGGAGAATCGCTTGAACCCGGGAGGCGGAGGTTGCAGTGAGGTGAGATCGCACCACTGCACTGCACTCCAGCCTGAGTGACGAGCAGGACTGTGTCTCAAAAAAAAAAAAAAAAAAAGACACATATTTGACTTTACTAGTAGCTTTAAGCACTGTTCTGCGGATCGTCAGTGCTCTGTAGAGCATTACAGGGGATCAGTCTTGGACAAAGTAACCCTTTTTCTCGAAAAGATATTACTGGATTTATGTTTCAAAATATTATTCTTATTATATTGTGGAGAATTGAATGGAAGGAATGTAAGTGGAGGAAGGAGGACAGTTGGGTAGATATTTCACTAGTTGGGTAAGATAAGCCATATTACTTTTTAATTAAGAGCATGGATTCTGAATCCAGACTTTCTATTTTGAATGTAGCATCTATCTCCTATGCAAGTGTCTTTGGTAGTTCACTTAATATTATTCTATGTGTCAATCTTTCTATCAGTAAGTTGGAAATAATTATAGTTCCTACCTCAAAAGTTATCATGAGAAAAAAATGAATTAATGTACCCTAGAACATGCCAGGCACAGGGCAAGCACAATGTTAAGTATATACTGTCAGTGAACTAGGATGTTTGGAATGGGGAGAAAAATAAGTGGCCCTTATTTGAGTATATCGAGGTATTATAATGAGCACATAACTTAGTTATGGACTGACTTTTGGGGGAAGGAGTGAAAGCAGATAGTGTCATATGCCATTCACTGGAAATAGAAATATTGGAAGAGGATGGGGGATTGTGGGAGTGATGAGGATGTGCAAATACAATACTATATTATTATTTGTTTAAGAATTAATATGTAGTGTAACATATAGGGTAAGTTAGGTCCATGGGGAAGATTAAAATGCAAAGTTTTGGACTTTATTTAATTGCTTCTCGACTGAGTGACACAATATGACAGAAGTAGCTTTGTGGGGACATGCGTCTGTATTTATCGGGGAGTCTGGTATCTATCTTGTCTTAAAGAGGTTTTGGTCAGCATTTGGAGTCTATGGAAGCACATTAACTTTTAGATGTAAAAGCATCATAAATACAGTAAAGATTTTTAAAGGAATTGGATTATGTAGGGAATGAGCTGTCATTAATGTGTATAAATCTTAGGAGACTACAGTTTGTTCTTATAGCTAATTTTTTTTACCCATACATTTTTCATATTTGTTCCTAAAATATGTTAATACTTACATAGCTTGTTAAACAATGATGTTTGCATTTTCTTGTAACCAGAACTACTTTTTATGCTTTAGAATCTTTTAGATCCCACAAATAGAATGCTAAGTAAATAAGTGTTAATAAATTACAATGGATCATTAAATCTATATTTCTTTCAATATGTTAATTTTGTATTTTATGTAAAAGGACATTACGTTTTAAGCAAATTCATATGATTGTGTGCCAATTTCAATGATTTTTCCTTTCTATTTTTCCTATTCTTCTAGTCTGCTCCCAGTTTTCGAGAGGAGTCTATGCTATTTTTGGATTTTATGACAAGAAGTCTGTAAATACCATCACATCATTTTGCGGAACACTCCACGTCTCCTTCATCACTCCCAGCTTCCCAACAGATGGCACACATCCATTTGTCATTCAGATGAGACCCGACCTCAAAGGAGCTCTCCTTAGCTTGATTGAATACTATCAATGGGACAAGTTTGCATACCTCTATGACAGTGACAGAGGTAAGTGACAGTATCTCATCTCTTTGTAATGGGGCGAATTCAATGCCTACACTTGACACTTCTATGGATGTTATAAAGCTACAAAGGTGTGATAAAGCCCAAGGATCCCTTGGTTTAATTTTGCTGTGATAATGACTAATGCAATTTAAAACCTGGGAAACATATTTAGAGTAAAACAACAACAACAACTACAAAAGCTGTCTGTGTACAACTTAGAGAGATAGACTGTATCAACCCAATGACCAAATATTCAGTTGTAATATAAAAAGCAATTTTTTGCATCAGCAGCTAAAAGTCTATGACAGCTATACTACTAGTCCAAGGTGAATGAAGTGGCTTGAGTACATTTAAGTGAAACAGACAGTAACATACAGTTATTAAATATTGTTATATGCAAAAGTTTTATCAGGCAGGTAGCATTATTATTGCCCTTGCCTTAAAACAAGATTCCCGAATCTCAGAGAAGTTAAAGGTTTTTCTCAGGATCAACCCACGTATGGTACAGCTTACACACAGGTCTCTGATACCAAACCTATGCTTTTGACACCATTCCACATAATTGTTTATAATGGGATGATTTTGAATAGCATGCCAGTCTTGATTCATTATGTTAAAATGTAATGGAGGGAGGTACAACCTGTATGTTTCTCATATCCCTTGTTGTGAAGTTTAGTATTAGCAGACTTGCTTGATTTATGTCATAGAATCCCAGGTGTTTTTAACCATTCCCAGGTCCGTAATTGGGTGTCAGTGGGTTTGTGTACTCCCTAAATTGTATGAAACATCTTGTGTGTGTGTGTTCATATGGATATGTTTTTAGAGAGAGTATCCGTAAATCAAAGTCAAAGCGGTGAGGGACAACGATTGTCCTAGTACCTAAGTACCATACTGTGCTTCCCTCAGCAGCTTGCTTCCTGGAATATTTGTAGGTTCAAATGAAAACCCAGAAGCCTATTTCGACCAAGATAGGGCACCTTGTTAACCCACAAGGGCAGACAAGAAGAGAGCCAGCCGTCAGTCAATTCTCCATTGATCAGTTTGTAGTCATTTACTGCAGCAAGCTCGAGTCAGGAGTGCAGGAGCTAGGTGTCTGATTCTCTGCCCTGTCCTCCTAATCCTGGGAATGAGAACACTCAGTGGAAAAGCCAGTCAGCACTATACAAGCTGAAAAAAAATTTGCTGTGTCAACAACTATGTCCCCCTGCTTTGAGAAGGGAGTGCTTTGCTATTCCCATAGGGAATTAAAAACTAAAACCGAGAATCATTTACAGTAAATACAGATTTCAATGTGCTGGATGTTTCCGACGCACACTTATTAATGTGATAAAAGGGCTTATAAAACTGAGCTTATTAAATAATTTTTAGTTTTTCCTCTTGTTCTCTGCTAACTTCTTTAGTATTTTGTGTTGTTCAAGCTAGCCTGAAATATGGGTGTATTCTTAATACCTCTTTCATCCTTGCATCCTATTGATGTGATTTCCACTGCCTAATTATATGTCTGTAGACACTCATCCTTGTCGTTGCCATTACCCCAGGCCAAGCCACCATAATGTGTTCAGTCCCTCATCTCTCCAGTTCCACCCTTGTCTTTTTTTAATCCATTTTCTATGAAGTAGCAGGAATTACTGTTAAAAAATTTTTTTTGGACTGCATTACTCTCTTGTTTAAAATACTTCAATAGCTTCTCATTATGATGAGGATAACATTGAAAAATTTTAGTTGGCTTTAAGGTCTTATAATATCCAATTCCCACTCAACTCTCCATTGCATTCTGCTGTCTTGCTCACTCATTAAAGGTAAATCCATTTGACCTTCTTTCACTTTCTCAGATGCACCAAACTCTTTCACTTCAAATCTCTGCCTGTATCACTAATTCTTACTCCTCCTTGAGAACTGGGTTCATATATCATTTCCTCAGAGATGCCTTTCACACTGTTATCTTTCAAAGCAATCTCTTTTCCTTTATAGTACTTAGGACAATTTATAATGAATGGGTGATGTTCATTCTGTCACTTAAGAATTGCCTATTGAGCCCCTGCTATGTTCCAGGGACTGTCTTAGTGTCATAGGATAAGCATTATGTTTTTCATGTAAGGTGTGGCAATAAGCTCCAGGAAAAGAGTGCCCAGGCAGTGCTCAGTGTACTAGATATTCAGCTCATGACTCTGTACCCAGTGCTTCAGATAATGCTAGAAAGAGAGTTAATGTTCAGTAAATGGTGTTAATAAGTAAATGAGTTAAACATATGTGTACAGTATTTTAAGTTCAAGGTGATTTTATAAGCTAAATTTTGCTTGCAAAATTGAAGAATTGAATGACTAATTCTCTTTACACTTTGATAAGGTTGACTGAGGATGGCATTTTTAGTTTAAGAATACACTTCGCCTTCATCCTTACCCTCACCATTGCTCCCTCTAGTTAAAACTGAACTTTTGAGAAAAATTCAAAAAGACAACAGCTGATACAAGTTTAAAAAAAGAGAAACTCTAGTGTGTGAGGAGAGATACTCAAAAGACAGGCTCTGGAATTAGCCTGTGAAGATGGATGGACTTACGTACTTGTGAAAAAAATCTGGAACATTTTAAAATACTTTTATTAATACTTAGAAATATTAAATGAAATTGAAGTGATGAGATAATCTACAATTATTAAATTATACAAGTTGATTTGAGTTCAAGTGCATCTGTTGAGATAAAAATGTTAGAGTGATAATATTAAGTAATAATATATTAAAGCCAAAATGACCTTATGGATATATTTTCAAGGTGTTATCAAGTAGCTATTGATGTTTTAATGTGAAAAATATTTCAGTGGCCTTCTATCTGAAGTTATTTTCAGACATAAATATGTAAGACTCTCATAATACTGGCAAAAGACTTGACCTTTGTGTAATATTTTACTTGGCTCATGGAAATGGAATTTTTGCTATTTGTTTTTTTCTTATTAATGACTTAATTTTTATGGCTTTGCCATCATGCTACATTTTAACGAGTTTATTCATACATTTAGTGTGTGAACTGTTTTCCCCCATTTGGTCCGAAATCATTTTGCTTATGCTTCAAAGTAGGCACCTCCTTGCTTTAGTGTCACATGATTTGAAGAATGCACCTGTGTTCCCTTTGTCCACATTAACCACAGTCTGGAAAATAGATCCCATGGTTTCATCACTCTACTTAGATCTCTACATGCCTCAGTTTCAAACAATTTGGTCTGTTCTTGATGGGCTGTCTCTTCACCTCCTTGATTATGTGATTATTTTTAGGCTCTAATCATCCTCACTTTTTAGAGAGTCTAGGTCAGGAATATATATTGGTTAATTATAATGTCTAAATTACTGTTCTTTGGAATAGCATAGGGTCCAAATGTGAAAATGATCTCCCAACATTCTGCCCTAATCATGAACTAGATGAAAATGACTTGAAATTGTTATATGCTGCTTAGTTTCACTACCTTTAGCTAGTGAAAGCCATTCCTGCTTCCTGGCTATCTGCCACAATGCTGAGCAACAGGCCAAGAGACTATATACCACTTTTAAACAATTAGAGACATGGATGCATGGATAGAAACATCTTTGTATAGCAGCATCTTTGTATGGAACCCTCTTTGACTAATCTAAGTTTACTGGTGAGAGGAGAGCTGAAACTCTGCATCTGGTGCCAGGTGATCTTTTAGGTTGCTGGTGTCTTCTCCTTACCCAGGCCATGTGGCAACAGCCTGACACTCCTTGATGACCCTGAAAACTGCATATCATCACTCCATAAAGAGAAATTCAACACATTTTTAACAATAGAGCAATGGGGTTATCTATGTTAATGCATTCAACATTATATAATAGTTTTATTTTTGGATATATATGTTGTAAGTTTGAATCAGGACTTAATCCAAATGTGGTTTTTATTTATTGGTTTAGTGTCAACAAGGTAAGATAATACATTTCTACAGAGAGTAGGTAAAAACAGAATTAGCACTTTATATCTGTATATCTTGGTTTCAATATCGAGCAATATTATTTGTCCTCTGAAGGGAAGGCACTTTGCCTGCAGTTCCAAGAAAACATCATGCATAGAACAAAAATGCTTTCAAATTATAATTTTTTCCCTCATATTCCTGAGAGAGCTGATGAGGGAAATATATGTTAATCTAATTTGGCCTAGGCATGCTGCCATGATTTAGTGATCATAAATATTAATTTATATGCTTGAAAGAATAAGTACAGTTAATTTTAAATGGAGCAAAGAAAATATTTTTAAGCAGTAAGACATGGTTTGAATAAAATGTATATTTTGGCAGTAATCATTTTTAATTTAACCCTTTAACGTGCAAACTGACAGACTTCCCCTGTGTACCGGGTGACCTTTTAAAGGGTTTGCATACAGACAGGTGGCTGATGGCTTGTCTATAACTCAGAGTGTTATTAATACTGGGTCAAGATGAGACTATCACTGACTGACTAGTAGTAATACTTTGGGAGAATTTTAGGAAGATTGTCATTTTATGAATAGGTTATACAACTACAACCAGTCAGTAACAATAGGCACATGAAGAAGTAATGCAATTTAACATTATGTAATCTAGCCATTTTTTATTTTAGCAAAACATCTAAGAATTCAGTAGAGTTTAGAACTTACTTTTAGACTGTAGCAATATTCTTGAGGGTTTAAAAGAACATACTATATTTTAAATATATTTACCAGGAGGAATAATCTTCCAGATTTCTTCTGTTTTTAGATGATCAACTATGTATCTCAACAGTTTTGTTTTAAGTAATTCAATAAAAATAAGTGAGTCTCTGCTATAGAAATTCAAATATCCTAATGTAGTACTATGGATATTAGAGTTGAATAACTATTGCATACTAATAGCTTTAAATGAACCAGTGTTTATGCAGAACTCCCATTGTCTATACAACTTTGTATTCTGAATTACAGGATGAATATATTTATAGATACTTCTGTGCTAGTTTGTGTGGAAGGAATAGAGGCAGATCTCAAGTCATACTTTCTCCTGTAATTGAATACGGTACAAAGAGGTCAAGAGCACAAATCTGTGTTATGTTTGAAGAGTTTAATTTCACTTTCATATACATTTTCAGTGATTTTCAAATTTAAAAATGGTATATTGATTATAAAGAAATCAGACAATATAAAACTTTTAGTTGTGAGGAATGAGGTGAGGAGATCAAATTGAGAGAGAGTTTGAGAGTCAGTTACTATTACTGAAAAAAAACCACCTAGGGAAATGGGTTATTAAGCATTGAATGGTGGTCTCTTCAAATTACACGTCAGATAATGCAATCACTTGTGAATTACTTCTGCCTGTTGTTAGGAGATAATTTAATATTATTCAGTGTCTTCTGATGAAACTGAATTTATTAAGTCTGATACAGCACTACTTGAGCAGTTTAGTTTCTTAATAATATGTAAGTTTTGTTAGGTTCCATAGGTTACAAAATATTAATCTTGAGAGTTTTAATAACAGTGAATCCTGAATCCACAGCCACTGTAAATTACTTTTGACACGTAGAACAAATGAGTTTGAAAGTCAGAGAAATTTCTTGGTTTTTTTTTTTTTTTTTTTTGAAATGGAGTCCCGCTCTGTCACCCAGGCTGTAGTGCAGTGGCGTGACCTCGGCTCACTGCAATCACCACCTCCCAGCTTCAAGGAATTCTCCTGCCTCAGTCTTCCAAGTAGCTGGGATTACAGGCGCCTGCCACCAGGCCTGGCTAATTTTTATATTTTTAGTAGAGATGGGGTTTCGCCATGTTGGCCAGGCTGATCTTGAGCTCCTGATCTCAAGTGATCTGCCCACCGCACCTGGCGCAAGTTAGGCATTTCTTTAAATGCATTCTTTTTGATTTTATACATCATCTCTATATTCTTTTGCAAGGTGAACTGCCGGAAATTTTAGATTTAGGATTTCCACTTGGTGAAATCCATTTACAAAGTGTCATTTATATTTAAACTTTCTTATAATATATGTCAAAAGTTGAGACATAATATTAAGAGCATTACCACTTGAAATTGTATTATATAGTATGCTTTATAATTAAATAAACAAAATGAAATAAGCTATTTCAGAGAATAAGGATGCTTACTGGTAATTTCTATATGGTAATATATGAATAGCACAGAGACCCCCATCCATGGATATAATGTCTTTAAGAAGGTGACAAGGGGGAGTTGAACCATGACTGTGATGTAGGAAAGTAGAACCCAGCAAATGGAAAGTGGCTTAGAATTTAGATTTCTTTTTCTCTTACTTGCAGAGAAAAGTGGGTAGACTTAATGGCTGTTTTCAAGTACATTGATAGCTGTCGAATTGATCATAATGACCAGCTGTGCGTGTTCTGTCTCTGCAGATGAAAAGGGAAGGATTTAACTGACCTATAGTGTATGGAAATCATAGGCGATCTGTGATGTGTTTTAAAGATCTGTCACTGAAAGTTTCAAAAAATGACATATGGTCTTTTTACATTATCCCTTGAGAAATTTAGGTTTATTTATATCTTTTGCCAGAAGACTGGACAGAGGAAACTAATTTCATTTTGCCAGAAAAAAAGTTAACTTTTTTCAGCATGTGGTTCAATCTTCCATTCTGAAATAAAAATAAATTATTTTTAATGTTTATGTTAAAATATTTTAAATAACAAATTAGAATGCTATAAAGATTCCCAAACACTCTTAACATGGCTTTATTAAAGACTAGTATATGAGCAATTTTGCTTGATCTATATCTCTTTTTTTCCCTGCAATTATTTAGAAACAAATACCAGACATCCTGCCATCTCATCTGTAAATATTTCAGTGTTTATTTGGAAAAAATGATTTTTATATTTTAAATATAATGGTAATAGTATTATTATACCTAGACAATTAACAATTCATAAATATTATTCTTTTTTCCACTGTTTGAAGCAAAATAAAAATGAGATCCATATATCGCAATTAGTTAACATAATTTTTAAGACTCTTAGAATGTAATGCAGTTTCCCACAGTCTAGATTTTGATGATTGCAACACTATGGTGCTTAAAATATTTTCTTCTATATATGCCCTATAACTTGGTAGTTAGATTTAGAAGTGTGATGAAATTCAAGTTTACATTATTGGCATGAATGTAGCCAACACTAAATAGGTATATACCTATTCAACACCAAAATAGGTGGGTTGAATATTATCATTTGGAGACATATCTCTGTTATCTCTCTTTTTGGGTAGTTACCAGTAGTTGATGTTTGTTGTCTTGATTCATTAATTCCGTAGGTGTTACAAGATGGTGATAATTTCAAATATATATTCATCCATCATCTATTAGCTAGAGTATTTCCAAAAATAAATATCTTTAGTTCATTATTACCCTGAAAGTGGTTCATATAGGAAATGCAGGAAAATGCTTGTTTTATTTCATTATTTACCAGTCTTCAAATTAATTAATTGGTTCCCTAGCATCTACCAAAGTCAAGCACGTTTTTAAAACATAATTTCATAGATTTAAAACAGTTTATGTATTTAAGTATTTCGCATTTATTATTCTAATTAATATTCAAATGTTCCCATCTTTATTTAAAGAGCTCCTCTTCAAATTAGCTCCTGTGTGCTTTGAGGTAATGCTGATGGTTTTAGAGAGTTCCTTCCCTTCTGGTGTCATAAGATGTTTTAGACTCATCTTGTACACTTTTTGGCCAATATTGAATCCATAAAATTTTTAATGGTGGTTTTTCTTTTTTGAAATAGTTTTCAACAAAATTGATAATTGACTCTTTTTCATAGCAAAAAGATTTAAATAAAATTTGGTATCTGAATTTAGATTTTGAAGAGATATGTTCACATTAGGTGAATCCTACATTTTATTAATCAAAAGGGACTAATATTGTTAGAGAAAGATGCAGGCTTTTCTAGAATAAGGAAGATGATTTGCTGAGTTCTGGATTCATTCTGGAGTCTCGATTTTGCGTTGTTTATTAAGTTATCAGTATAAATGATGAATTTGGTTTTGCTGTGAATAGTAGAAATAATATGAAAGACAAGTTTATGTAGCATGTCTCCAAGTGCTAAACTGAGGATATAACTTTTCAGGAAATAAATCCTCTAGTTGTTGTAACTCTTAGTCCTAAATATGAGGTAATATATGGACAATTAAAAAAACAATAAAAATTTTCCAAGTGATATGATGCTATAAGCAAAGTTACTAACAGGAAAATAGACATATTTGGAAAGAGAAGTAAATCTATGCTAGAGAAATAACTGCCACCATCTGGTTAATAGGTGACCACTTCAATTTCTCTGGGATCATTCCCAATAACAAAAAAAATAACATAACAGAAGACTGTGGAAGGAAAAAAAAATGAACCCAAACTGCTGACTTGAAAACAATAGGAGAAAATATAGCAGCCTCATAAAGAATATTGCCTCTTATCCTCACATAGACTTACATAGATTCCTCATTCAAAATGTACTCGTCTTCTTCAGGATACTAATATCAAATGACAGACTATCATGTATGACTAAACAATTTTTTTCCATTCTGTAAGAGTAAGAAATGTTTGTGATGCCATTTCATTTCACTTAAACCAAAGATATTAACATTACACTTTAGTAATACTCTAAAGAAGACAGCTGAGGGTGTTGAAAGAAAAGGATATTATTTTCTACTCAAATAATGACTCCTTTGGTCAGAATAGTAATATTTAGGTAATGAGTTTTTGATGTGAAGTGACATAAGTAGAAGGTGATAAAGATCATAGCTATAGCTTTTTTTGAAGGAGTCAACATTCCTTTAGTTGCACAAATATATCTTCCTTAAAAATATATTCACTGGCAATTTCATAACACAATCCTGAGTTATTCACGTATCTTTATCAGTCATCATTTTTCTTTGCCTTCCTAGGCTTATCAACACTGCAAGCTGTGCTGGATTCTGCTGCTGAAAAGAAATGGCAAGTGACTGCTATCAATGTGGGAAACATTAACAATGACAAGAAAGATGAGATGTACCGATCACTTTTTCAAGATCTGGAGTTAAAAAAGGAACGGCGTGTAATTCTGGACTGTGAAAGGGATAAAGTAAACGACATTGTAGACCAGGTTTGCTACTTTCTGTTTTCTAATGATGCCAGATATAGAATATGCATGCAATGTCAGCATTTGCAATGTGTATTTGTGTAAGGTGCTTGAACAGCAGTTTTTGCTTTATGTTTTATGTCGGATGCAGCAAAGATCATCAATTAAATTATCTCTGGCTTCAGTTAGCAATAGCAAATGGTCATCAGTAATGCTGGCACATCATGTTAATCATTAAATAAATTCAATAAATAATTCCTGACTTTTATGTTTTATATGATAAATGTTACCCTAAACTTTGATATTTTCATTTGAAAATTTTAAATTTAAGTCTGATGAACTTTTTAGAGTTAAAGAAATAGACATGTATTAACTTAAGACAAGTTGAGTTCTAAGGGAAAAGTGAGTAATTCATGAAATTTTTGGAGTTACATAGACCATCTATGCCTCCAGAAAGAGTATGTAGTTATCTTTGCAAGATATATTTTTTTTCTTCTGTTAAGGGACTTGTGCCACTATAAAAAACATTGATTTGTGAAATTAAAATATGTAGGAAGGACACATTTGGGCTGTGTTTGCTATTTGAGAAGTAAACTAGATGCATCCCCTTGGACTGTTTGAAAGAATCACTGACACCAGTGATAAGGATATTTTTATCTGTGCTTAGATACTACCTTGCTTCAGTTTAAGGTCTTTCAGGGTAGGGGAGCCATGCAGTGTTATCTTAATAATACAGGTAAAATCCACCATGATTTACAAATAGGGTAAGTGACTAGGGATGATAGTGGCACAGCATCAACATTATGATTGATTGAATAAGGTCTCCTTTACTGATATCTGCATCTCTTCCTAGCTGAAAATGTGTGTGTGTGTGTGTGTGAGTATGAGTGTATATGTGTGTGTATACATATGCATATATGTACATATATATGTGCACATATATGTATTTATACAGTTGACCCTACCAATATCCTACCATTGACCAGAAGCCTTACAGATAACACACAGTCAATTAACACATACTTTGTATGTTATATGTATTATATACCATATTGTTATAATAAAGTAAGCTAGGGAAAAGAAAATGTTATTTAGAAAATCATAAGGAAAACATATTTACTATTCACTAAGTGGAAGTGGATCATCATAAAAGCCTTCATCATCATCATCTTCACATTGAGTAGGCTGTAAAGGAGAAGGAAGAAGAAGGGTTGGTCTTGCTGCCTCAGAGGTGGCAGAGGTGGAAGAAAATCCATGTATAAGTGGATTCACACAGTTCAAACCCATGTTGTTCAAGGGGCAATAGTATACACTGTGGCTGCTAGTGCCTTAGAATACTGTGGAAGTGCAAGGAAAATACACACTTGTGTATGCATTTCTTGGCTCTTCTAGCTTTGAGGAAAAAATTTGATTCATTAATTTGTTCAACACAAAACATTCTGTAACATAAATGTTGATTAAATCCTAATTGATATATAATAATACAGGCCCTAAGACATACAAAATAGATCTTTCATGGAATATTGAATAACTGAATAGAACTAACTTGTTATGCAAAAGAACTAAATGTTGAATGCCAGAGAGGTGAATAATTTCAGTAGAAAATCTTGATTCTAGTCTCAAGAGATGAAGTTAAGATTGTTTTTAACCTGAAGGCCTCTTGTTCAAATGTGAACCTCAAAAATGCATTTGAATTTCATAGAGGTTCTCATTAAAACTGAATTTTAATAATATTCATTAGTCTTTGGTTTAAAAAATTTAAGGATTCATGACTCATCATAATAAATGTTAGTGAAAGACTATATAAAAATATATTTTTCCAAAATGAGAAGAGAGAAACTACAAAAGCAAACGGGAATATATTGTAAGTGATGTTTTGATTACATAAACGTCCATATGGACATCTATTCAAAATGCAGAGTATTTTGCACATATATATTATAAGTCCCTTGAATGTATTAAATGAGCACATGCAATGGATGGCCTCAGCAAACATTTATTGAGGCCATGCTTTGTGCCTGAAATGAGGGATGCAAAGAAAGGTAAGAAAGAGTGATGTCTGCATCCCATGAACTCATTGCTTAGAGATAAAAATGTACACAATGTACACAGACAGCACTACAGAATTACAAGTTAAAATGCAATGTAGTCTAGGACATGGAGGAGAAAGAACCTTTCTTAAAAGGGGAAGGACAATTTGTGAAGGGTTCACATAAGACGTGGCATTTGGCTTTGCTTGGATTCATTCATTTATTTGTTCAGTAAATATTCCCTGAGTGTCTAATGTTTGCCAGGCAGGCACTGCAGTAGATCCAAGGAAGCAATGTTAAACAATAGGCCAGCCACCATCAGTGCAACTATTAATAATGTATTTACAGAAATTAATATATAATTATACTAATGGGATACACTATAAATGAAAAGAATGGTATGCTATGAGAGATCATTACAGAAAGAATTAATTTAGATTGGGATATTGTTCAAGGAATAGATTACCTGGCAAAAAATGAGGATAAGGTACATTCCAAAAAAAAAAAAAAAGAAACAATGTTTATTCACTCAACCAGTGTTTTTTCAAGACAACAGAGATGAGATAGCACTCCTTATTGCAACAGTAGCTTGAAGTTAGCAATAAATTAAATTTTATTAGGCTATGGGTTTTTTTTTGTTTGTTTGTTTGTTTTGTTTTGTTTTGTTTTGTTTTGTTTTTGACACAGATTCTCGCTCTGTCGCCAGGCTGGACTGCAGTGGCGCAATCTCAGGTCACTGCAACCTTCAATTCCCTGGTTGAAGAGATTCTACTGCCTCAGCCTCCTGAGTAGCTGGGATTACAGGCACACACCACGCCCAGCTAATTTTTGTAATTTTTAGTAGAGACCGGGTATCACCATGTTGGCCAGGATGGTCTCGAACTCCTGACCTCATGATCTGCCCGCCTTGGCCTCCCAAAGTGCTGGGATTACAGGCGTGGACTATGGGTATTTTATTATCATTTTATAAAACTTTGACAGCACAGATTTCTAGTTATTATTAGGTGGTAAAAAGATTCAGCCATCAAAAACATTTATAAATTAATATAACTTTTCCATTGTCAGTGCAATAATAATTGTTATTATAACACAAAGACATGGTGGTTAGTATGGCCAGTGCAAATTTTTATATAGATGCTGGGGTAGAGAATTTTCATATCCTTCCTTTCTCTCAAGTAAACTCAAGTAGGGACTACTGATACAACCTTTTATACTATGTTTTTAAAAAATTTCTCAGCAGGAAGACATGGATGATTCAGAGAGTAGAATGTACAGTAAGCAGAGCTAACAGATGTCAGCAGGAAATAGGAGGGACATAATCAATCTGATTCAGCTGATGCTAATTTATATGTTTTTCATTCAGAAGGACATCTTTTCTTCAGAATTCTCCCCTTAACACGGAGGGTTCAGTTTCTTGGAAAAGGCAATTTAGTCATGTTACATAAAACTGAGTCAGAAAACAATGTAAGTTTTAACTTCCTTTCAAACAGCTATGGCTTAATATCAAAGTGGCATATGGTAGAATCATTCCTAGGATTTTGTTCTTGCTCTTTAACTAATAGCATTGCTCTGGAGCACCTGACTTTGTATCCGATTAGAGAAAGTCAGGGTAGTTTTCTCCCAGGGGGTGTAAGAATGTTCAAGAGTTAATAAGGCAAAGGATATAGTGGTGGAGCTTTCCAAGCAGACAAGCAGAGGAAGCAAAATGTGTGAAGCCCTAAGGTGATGAGAAGAAGCTTCCCTGTGAACAAAAAAACCTAAAAGGGCCAATGTGACTTGAGGGTACAGAATAGGAAAGTTGAGCCTCAGAAACTTGCAAGATCATTGGACTTTGGAAAGCAAAACTCACCAAAACCATTTAATCAGAGAAATGATTTGGTTTGAATTTTTGTCTATAGCCTTAACATTTCATGCTTTCCACTGTTGTGATCATCTCCTTAAAAAACATACATTACATTACATTTGAATGTCCCTGTACCAGGACTAAAGCATGGCCAGTTTGCCTATTTCTACTCTCTTCGTAATTGATACAGATCATTCAAAAGTCAAATTGATCAATAATGTCCAAAACCGTTGTCAGCATTACAACGATGACCACTTGTTTCATGCTGTGTTTATCTTGACATTCATTTTAGATTTGGGTTTGTGGAGAAAAATTAGCTTCTCTGATACTTTGCTCTCTAGAGCTGGCAATAATGTCCCTTTGGACTAAATTATAAACATTTCACGGTCCTTAGGATAGGAATGTTATTTTACATATCCATGTAAGAATTCTTTTATATGCTTTTAAATATTCTTTTGAAATGTATGTAGTACTATAAACTCTAGGTGTATTTATTTGAATATAGACATATGAATATAAAATCTCAGATGTTAAACAGTTTGAGATGTTTAATGTTTTATTAAAAAGACAAAAACATAGCCTTTGTAGGAATAGAATTCTGACTTGTCATGGACTAAAGATACTTTGGTTTCATGCTTCTTAACATTCTGTGGTTTTATTTTTTACTATTGACAAAAATGAGGTAATAATTTTTGTTTAGTGACTTCCTGAAAGAGAATCATTTATTAAGCGTTAATATGTATTATTACTTTTTATGAGAGAAATATTATCTAATTTTGATAATTATATTTTATCAAAAATGACTTATTTTGGCACATCAACAAACCTAGCAGATAAAATTCCACGTTTTTCCCTGAATCAGATCATAATACCATTAATTTTACACTTGCATTATTTGTATTAATTAAATAATTACTTATTTGTGCTTATTAGGTTATTACCATTGGAAAACATGTTAAAGGGTACCACTACATCATTGCAAATCTGGTAGGTGAATTAATTGGTATATATTATTTTACTAGATATGCTTATTTATTAAAAATTTAATTTTGAATGGCCAGCATTTATCAGTGGTGTTTTAAAAAATACAGTTTGATTGTAATTAGCCAGGTGTAGTGGTGGGCACCTGTAATCCCAGCTACTTGGGAGGCTGAGGCAGGAAAATTGCTTGAATCCAGAAGGCGGAGGTTGCAGTGAGCTGAGATCCCACCATTGTACTCCAGCCTAGTGACAAGAGACAAACCCTGTCTCAGAAAATAATAATAATAAATATAGCTTGATTATATTTGATATATTAGATATATTGCTGCAATTATGTTTTAGAATTGCTTCCCACTTTGCATCTTCTAATCAATTTCTTATTATTATAAATGATATAAGAATTTATAGAACAATATTTGACAAGCTTCATAAATTGTCTTAGATGCTGTATTTTAAGAAAAGGGAAAATTCTCAAAAATATTTAAAGTTTAATTGTCCACATATTCCCTTGTCTCTGTTTTTCACTGTCTCTATTTTTTATAAACTCTGCCCTCTGCATATTCCTTTAATTTTTAGCATATATAATATCTGAAATAAATGTAAATTTGTGAGAATATGTCTTAGTATGAAATTAAACCTGAAAAAATCTAGAATATTGAGATATTATGCATTATTTATGACTTCCTACTTACTATGTAAGCAACCAAATGAAAATTAAATTTCTGTAGCCAATCATCTTTTTATTATGATTCCTGTCAAAATAAGGACCACTTAATCACGGCTTCTTGGGTTTGTGTTTTCTCTGGGCCGTGGTCACTCATATTGGCTCAGAATAAACCTTTTACAATTAAAAAAGAAGGTAGTATACTGAAGCAACAGAGTAGTTAATTCTATTTCCCTCTTTTAAGCATCATCAGAGTCAATTTAGAATTATCACTAGAAATTTCTTTTTTCAAAATAATTTAAGCCTTTACTGCTACAGAGTTTAATGTTATTTAAATAATTAAGATGCTATGTGATTCAGGATCACTATACCTCTACACCCCTGTCTCACCCAAGAACAAGAAAAAAAGGTGAGAGAAAGAGGGAGAGAGGCAGAGAGCTTATTTTAAATAGCATAATAGGACTTTGAAAAGCTTTTGACATATACAAATTTAATGATTCCTAGTGTATCACATTGTTACATCAGAAGACATTAGTTCTAGTGGTGACAGAAAGAGATAAAACAAAACAATACAACATTTACAGCCTTCCAACTGATAAATGTTGTTTTCACTAGAAGTTGAAGGAATTTAGAATATGAAATCTCAAAACTGCATGCTATTGGGTTGCTCAAGACAAAATTTCTGTTTGGCAATGAAATGGGTAACTACTATAAAAATTCTCTAGGACTTTCCTTTAGAGTGTATTAAGATGCTAAGGACTCCCTGAAGAGAAACAAGAGTTAAACTAGATGAAGCTCTGTATTCAGTCTCTCCAGAACCACATTATGTGCAGGAAACAGCCTGGACAGTCAGTCCCCTGTGTGAATCGTGCCATTTGATGAACAACACAGAGCCACATTGAAAGCTGTGATCTTTAAAAATGTACAGATGGAGAAGATTATATTTGAACATTGAGAAATAATGACAGAAGGTGGCTCCTCAATTTGAGAGCTGATATCTGATGCTATTAAAATGAAAATAAGTGTTTGAATGACCAAATTAAAAAGAAAAAGAAAAAGCAAGTTCATGCTGCTGTCATGCTTCTTGAGAGAAAATCTACCTAATATTTTATCTGAATTCAAGTCTTGTTTTTCTTTTTCTCAATACTTGGTTTCTTTGCCATATGGAACTTCTAGTGAATCAATAAGTTCGAAAGGCTGTATAGTGTTGCAATTTCTGAGAATTTGGAGGACACTTGGAAATTTTACTGACATTCAAAATTAAACAATGCCACCCGAAGTTGAAGGGCTTTCATCTTCCAAACTCTTGAGACTTTCCTTTTCTTCCCCCTGTCAGGTTGTAATGAGTTCTATAATAGGTGTTTATAGAAGATTTTTTAAAAATCTGCAGATAATATTATTGATTAATTTCCTTAGGAATTGCTGAATGCTTGATTGGGCTCCTAAAACACAGTGTATAATTAAGTCCCTTACAACAGCACTGAAAAGGGTAACTTGTAAATAAGGTGATGAAGAAGTGGTCATAAGGAAATCCAGTTCTCATTTCTCCAACCTTACTACCCTTATAGATTTAATTCTTTAAAAAGCCATGGTTCCATAATGAATTCCAGCATTAAGAAAGGGGTCTCCTAGAAATTAAAAATTCAAGAAAAAGTTGAAACAAATTACCTGATATGTTTGAATATTTTATTTTCTAAAAAGCTTTATTCATAGGCATGAAATGTTTTCATGGAAGCACTGGAAAAAATGGGGATAAGCATATAGAAATCTCTAGCATTGAAAAAATGGGACATGATTATAAACATGGGCTGAGATCATGTTCGAGAAAGAAAATGCAATTCTAGTACACTATTTGGCTTTGCTCTGAATAACATTTAGAGTTATAAGTACTGATTAAAATGGGTGAGAAGATAAATGGTTTTGTCATGTAAGCAAATTACATACTCATGTGGGATACACAAAAACTCAATAAAATTTCAAAAATTGATAAATTAAGAAAGAGCAGTAAAAGTGTCATGCAGAAGTAAGAGGTAAATATGTGAAAAGCAAATATATTAAAATTGAATGTTTTGAAGCAACTTAACTGGAACATACCTACGGTAAAACAGAATATATGATTTTTGTTATATACCTTTTTGCACTATTTGCATTATCTTGATAAACAGAAACAAAATTGTGAGCCAATAAAAAGTAATTACCTTCTCCTTCAGCTAAATAATATAATAATATGCATGTTTTAATATCAATAACAAAGAAAAGATTCTCCTAAGTTTTGGGGTGTGGTAATTCAAAATTAATTTAGGATACTTTTAACTTTTGTGTACAATAAGATAAATATTTGTGAAATGTGAAAACATTTATAATTGTGATATATGGAAATTAATTTCATCTTTGAGAGAGATATACTATCAAGTTGATAAAATTCATGTCAGCACAATATTTGAAATCAATGTAAATATCACATAATAGTTTTAGTAATGACTGAATTCATTGCAATAACACAAGATAAATTTTTTTTTAAGATTTAATATATTCTATAAAATTAGCTTCTGGCTGAATGTGAAATTGTTTAATTGTTCTCAAATAATGACTGGACATTTAGTACCTCATTTTGAAGATGTTCCTATCACCTGAGTGAAGAAGTAATTCAAACAGGAGTAACTTGCTCACAAGGTTGTAGTTCTTCGAGAACTACTTTAATGTTATTAAGTGTCTGTAACCACATGGTGGTTCTCCGCTGTAGACCAAGTAAGTAAAACCTAGTCCTTATCAATGGAAGATTTCTCAATAGAGTGGAGAACATTTATGTAGGTACAACCATGAGTGTTTCATGAGATGATCCATCAGTAAACGTGTATTGATTAGGGAACCACTATGATGCTAATGTGGGGTTAGGTGCTGATGAAGAACACTGGCTGATAAATACATGGGACATTTTCTGCAGGCTTATTATATCTCATATGTTCTTTGAAATATCTAAAACCACAATGTATAGAGTTATTTGGTAAATGTTAAGTAGCATTTTGTTCTCAAACAAAAAGCGTGATATCAATGTGTTCTATGTTTAGGGATTTACTGATGGAGACCTATTAAAAATCCAGTTTGGAGGTGCAAATGTCTCTGGATTTCAGATAGTGGACTATGATGATTCGTTGGTATCTAAATTTATAGAAAGATGGTCAACACTGGAAGAAAAAGAATACCCTGGAGCTCACACAACAACAATTAAGGTTTGCTTTGGTTTCTGTCTTTTCTTTTTCTTTCATATGTGAGGAGAGAGAAGAGTCTTGGCAAATAAGGAGGAAGGAGAAAATAATAAAGGGAGTAGAGAGCACGTTTCAAAATATGGCAAACATATTGACTGCTAAATATATTTTTCACATTTTTATGGTTTAAGTAAAGCTATTAGAGCTTTACTGTATTACTCTTGTGTTTTCTACTTCCGTACACCTATGATAATTTATAATAAATAAATTCATTCATTTATTAATCCATTTGGCATTTTTATTGAGTGGATTCTGAGCCAGACACTTTTTTGGCAAATAAGACAGGGATAATGTCCCTGCTCACAGTTGAATGGAATAAAGACAAAAGCATTGACAGAAGAATGCCACGAGGGAAGAGAACAGAAAACTCTTAGCGACATGGAGGGGGTAGGGAATTTTTAAGCTGAGACCTGAAGAATAAGGGACAATTTTACCCTGACTGCTGTTTAGAATATTATGTTTGCAAATAAATTAAAGAACAATAGGTGTCAGTTTGTTCCTAATCTTCAAAAAGCCAACTTGCAGACAGTTCTTAGTTCAGTCAATAAACGTATGGCCACAAAGAGAGAGAGAGAGAAAGAGAGAGAGTGAGAAAGAGAGAGAGAGAGTGTGTGTGTGTGTGTGTGTGTGTGTGTGTGTGTGTGTGTATAAAATAACAGTTGATGAGTAGCCTGGTCTCTTGAACACTTTAAAAAGAAGATAAAAATCTCAATTTGCCTTAATAATTAAAACATAACTGTAATGCTTTATGCAATCAAACAAAAAATTCTTGAACGCTAAATATTATTTGTTCCTCAGGTATAAGAGCTACACAGACTGATCTTTGTTCTCCATGGGTTTGGACACAATGAGATCTTCACTTGTTTATTTGATGCATTTTATTGGGTATACACATGCGTGCATGAATTTACTTCCAAGTAGTCAATATTTCTGCTGTTGACAGGAAGGTATTTTTCCTTCAGTTGGTAACCTTATTGAGAGCAGAGTTAAAATGAAAAACTGGCTAAGGGTAGTTTAAAGAGTGAGTGGGTTGAAAGTTAAGATGATGTTCACATTCTTTATGAAAATTAAGAGCAAAAGTTGAAAAATTGTATAGTAATTTTGTTTGTGAATTATAAAGCAATTGTATATGAACCAGGCAGGACAGTGTTATTTCAGTTGCTCTCACAGTTGTACCTGAGTATGCATCATAGAGATGTTGTTTGATGCTAGGTGCATGACTGTCTATGAGATTGGTCCTAGAAAAGGATTAGAAATTTTGAAGTTCTTTACTTTTGGATTTATAAATGGATCTTTTAATTTTTAAGTCAATTTTGTAAAAGCATTCCATAGGATTTTAAAGAAGAACACCAAGTAACTTTTTTTCAAAAACGAGGTGACTTCCTATTTGGTGACTTTAGTTGAGATTCAGTATTTGTGGCCGGGCGCAGTGGCTCACGCCTGTAATCCCTGCACTTTGGGAGGCCGAGGTGGGCGGATCACGTGGTCAGGAGATCGAGACCATCCTGGATAACACGGTGAAACCCCGTCTCTACCAAAAATACAAAAAATTAGCCGGGCGTGGTGGCAGGCTCCTGTAATCCCAGCTACTCCGGAGGCTGAGGCAGGAGAATGGCGTGAACCCGGGAGGTAGAGCTTGCAGTGGGCCGAGATCGCGCCACTGCACACTCCAGCCTGGGAGACAGAGCGAGACTCTGTCTCAAAAAAAAAAAAAAAAAAAAAAAAAAAAAAGACATACTGTTTATATCGGGGAGGTACTTTTCATGTAACGAGGCTTCTGAGCAGGTAGATGGATACCCAGAGCCTTAGTTGGTGTCAGCGTATGTATCCATCTGTGCCTAGAAGGGGTCTAACTGCCGATCCCATTCTGTGGAATTGCAGGCTTCCGTCCATTCAGAGATGGTGCCATGTAAGTTCTCTGATGGAGTGGATGTTATCCTCAAATGGAACCAGCATGCTCCTTTCGAATATTCTGTTAGTCATTGTGTTGCCCCCAACTGCTGCCTGCTAGGAGAAGCATGAAAGCAAAATGAAATTATGTTTTTCTCCTAGAAGTCGTATCATGATTCAAGTTAATGTGTCTTGCATTAAAATGCAAGAGGTATTTGCAGTGTGAGAGATGTTTGGCAATGCATTCTGTTAAAAATTTTGCCAAAACTAGTGCCAGATTTCACTGAGTTGAGAACCTGCATTGTGACCTTTCTTGCTCCCTTCCTGCTGTAGCATTTCCCCTCCATAATGCCTCCCTTTTGGTGGCTTCTGCCCATTTTCAGAGAGATCATTATGCTTCTTCACGGTGAGGTGTTTCAGAGAACCTAGACTAATGTGTTTTAAAACTTAGGCTGTGAATCACTGTTTGACCCTGGGTCCAGGATTCTCATCTGTACAATGCAGTAATGACCATTAATTCCCAGGTTGCTGTGAGGATTAAATAACACTTGCAAAGGGTTAGCACAGCTTTGGAAACATAGGTGCCTATAAGGGCTAATTTGTTTTCCCAGCCATTTCCTAAAATGAGAGAATTTCAGCCAATTTCCAAGGTGTATTCCAACTTTAACATTTTATAATCCCTCTAACTCCACCCAGAGGCATATTTTATGAGGTCCCTGAAGCTCAATAAAAATTACTGAAAATCTGTGAGGAGAATGTGTTTGGGGAGGAAGTTTATCCTAACAAAGAAATGCATTGCTTATGTACTAGAAGGCCAGAAACTAAATATAAATAAATGAAAAATGTATGAATCCTGTCTTTGAGAATCCAGCCTAAAGAAGGAGACAATCATATCAATCAGCAAATATAATAGACTGATAAAATATGCCAGTTTCTTGGCCATGATTTTGACAATGTTTGGAGGGAAGGTCAAGGAAGGCTTTCATGGGAGGGATGCCTGTGCAAGGCTTTGCACATGGTTGAGAAGGAAGAAAAGTGTGAGAAGTTGCTTGGGGAAGTGCAAAATGTACAGAGACTCGAAGTAAGGCAACAGCATGACAGATCCAGGGAACTGCACATTTGTTGCTACTGCAAAAATGTAAATATTTGGGACCAGTGAGGAGGGAGGTCATGTTATGGAAGTTGCAAGAGGTAAGGTCCTTAAATTGTCAACAGATGTGGAAGGTAGTAACAAGAGCATGCTTTCATAATTATTTTTGCTTCCAGACAGAAGAGAGGAAGAAAAACTAGGAGATTATATAGCACCCTCTAAATATAAACAAAGAATATAGTCTCAATATATTATTTGCTTACAGAAAGGGAGTGAAATATTTCTAATGAGATTATTAACAATGAGGTTATGTCCTTTGATGTTGTCTTTTGGGTGATCGACTGAATTGGATACATTGCCTGATAAATTCATATCACATTTTACTACTCAACTACTCAACAATAAAAACTAGTGCTATTGGCATAAAAATCTATAAAAATACAGTTCAATACACCAAATTCTTTCCATAGTTAGGGTTTAGGAATTATAGAAATTATATCAAATCGTGGGAGTAATAAATAAATGATTGTTCAACGTTTTCATCTTCCCCTAAAGTTAAATCAGCTTCCAAAGTTTTCAAATTAAAATAAATTTTATTCAGTAAATAAAAATAAAATGTAAATAAGGTTTAATATTTAACATATTTTAATAACCACCAAATATAAATTACAATGTTTAAATTTCTTCATTCTTACAAACTATACAAAAAATAACTAAAGTCATGGCACTGAGATTTTAGGTCTGATTCCCTTTTACTAATTTGCTATTTGGGGCAACATTCATTCATTCATTTATGAATTCATTTATTTACTCAACACATATTTATTGTCTACTCCACAGCAGGCACTGTTCTAGGTGTCAGAGAAAAGACAAAGTTCTGGCCCTTAAGGAGATTACAGTCTTCAGACTAGAAACCAACAATTAAATTGTAGCATTGATGGAGGTTGTCTTATTGCCATCTTAAACTTATATATTCAAAACTAAACTTATGATTTTCCTCACTACTTCCTCCTCAGCCTCTGGAAACTATTCCTTCAGCGGTCTTTCTTATCCCAGTTGATGGCAACTACGTCTTTCAGTTGTTGCTTAGACCAAAAACTTGGTCCTTTACTTTTCTCTTTCTCTTGTAATCTACATCCTATGAATCAGAAAACCCCATTAGCACTGCCTCACTTCCTACCACCTTCTCTTCAGCCAACCTAAATCCCTAGGTAGCTACCACCATAGGATTATTACAACAGTTTCTAAAATTGATTTCCCTCCGTTCACCCCTGCCCCTGTTATCTTCCATCCTTGTGGTCCTTTTAGAGTATAAATAGATTATTTTGTGGTTCTGTTCCAAATGCTCCAATGTCTCTCCATTTCACTTGGAGTAAAAGAGCCAAAGTCATCCTGTTGTCTTATGAGGCCCTGTCACCCAGTCCCATGGAGCCACATCTCTGTACACTGGCTCACTCTGTTTCAGCCACATTGGCCTCCTTGCTGTTCCTCAACCAACCTAAGCAACTTCCTACTTTAGGGCCTTTGAACTGGCTGTTTCTTTTTCTTGACTGTTGTCCCCTTAAATATTTGCATGGCTAAGTCTCCTGCACTCCTTAGATCTCTTTCAAATCCTGTCTTCTCATGGAAGGCAATAGTAGGCTATGTATTTAAAACTGCAATCTTGCCACCATCAGGGTTTGTGCATCACCCTTCCCTGATCCAGCTTTCCCAATTCTTACCTTTTAGTTTACTGTTCTTATCATTTATGTATTCATTTCACTGTTAATTATCTCCTCCTACTTGAAAGTAAGTGCCATTTAAAAAAAATTCATTGATATAACTCAGGCTCCTAGAATAAATCCTCATACATAGTAACCATCTAATAGATACTTCCTGAATCAACAAATAAAGAAAAGCAAAGGTACTGTGGTATCACCTATGAGAAGCTCCTAATCCTAATTCTAGAGGTAAGAAAAGGCTTCTCAATGGGAGCAATATGGAATTGGAGACCTGAAGAAGTAGGAGTTAGGAGAAAGCATAAGGAACAATGATTCCAGATAAAGGAACTAGGATATGTAATGTCTCCAGTGCAAGGAAAATATAAATATTTCCATAAGGCTTTAGGTTGAACAGAAATGATTTGAAGAAATGCTGAGAAATCATACTTTAGAACTGTGTATGATCCAGAAGTTTTATGCCTTGTTGACATATTAAGGATTTCTTGTCTAATTTGAAGAGCAACAGGGAACTACAAGAGGAGAGTGCTGATCATGGCTTTGATACAGGAAGATTACTATGGCTGCCCTGATGACAAGAGATTGCAGGGAGCGCTGGTGGAGGCAGGGAAGCTTTTGGAAGATATCACAGTCAGACAAGAGACAATGGTTGTCTTAATTGTGGTTGTGGCATGGGGATGGAGGGAAATAGATGGATTTGTTACATCTGCCTTTTCTCTTAATTTCTTCATAAATGAAATAATAATTGTAAAATCGTAATCATTCATAGGTAATATACTGATATAAATTCAGTCAAGAGATATTTGTGGGTTAGAAATAAGCCTTTCAAAGGAAATCTGGCTCATTTGTATCTTATTAGCCTTAAATCTCACACAGTGGTTTGCAAAGAGTAAGCACACTATAGATATTTGTAGGGATGAAGAGTAATTATTTGGAAAATATTGAATAAGTAAAGGAAAAAATATAACATTATTATTGTGATGAAATATGATTTAGATTTCTGCCATAGATTTCTGCATGTGTCCTCTTATTGAGCCCTGACAGAAAAGCAATGAGTTACTTTAGTTGATAAAATGTAAAGTTAATGTAGTTATCTGACCTGACCCATCATAGCACCAGGATTTACATGGGAATATTAAAACAGTCATTTTATCTTCCTTAAAAGTAATTTTTTTAAAGAGAAAGAGTATAAAGATATTTCCCACTATCTCAAAAATAATTTATGAATATTTCTATTTTTAGACTGATTTTTAGTATTTTTAATGTCTCCAACATCGTGTAAGGTATGACTAGCCATTCTACCTTATCACATAGTAACCTTTGTTCAACTTTTGTGTCTTCAGTCTCCTACTGGTGTTAAGGAATTCAACAATAATCTGTGGCTGACATTTGTGTGGCACTTTAAATAATGGCTTTCCCACAAGAATCTCATTTTATTCAGGAAACAACTTCACACGCAGACTCAAACTTTCTTAATTGCTGTCCTAAGAGAGTTATTAGATCTGCCTGAAAATAGTATAATCTTTTTCAGTTCAGTAATTAGTGTCATGCATTAAATTGTACCCTAGTGGCCTAATAGAATTAATTCTGCTTCTTGAGTGTTTTAACTGTCCAAACCACAGCTGGCAGACTGGCGTTCACTCTTCCTAATATTACAGCATTTTGCCCAACACAACCTGGAAGTTTGAAATTTGACATATTAATTCCTTGTATTTTATAGTTTAAAAAGTGTGTAAATGACTGAAATAAACTTATAAATTTTATATTGATAAGATTGTTTATTTTGTAAACATGAATTTTAAAAATATGTATATCACACCATTAAAAATAAAAATGTGTTATTAATATTTATAATTTAATTCAGGGCATCTCACATCTTATTTTCATATTTCTTTATCTGTAAAGGGAACAAGTGTAGGTAAACTCTTAGGTTTCCTGCAAATCTCTAATACCATGATTATGTGAAGTGCTAACTTAAGCCCTCAATAAAACATTGTTAACATTTCAAATTTTTGCCAAATCTCTGACATCTCAAGTGGTGCCTCTGTCTCTTAGAGATTGTAGTGACTTGCAGGTAGGCAGACAACTCTGATCTCCAGGTGCCGAAACTGAATCCTAAATTACTCTGGACAATGTATATTTTGTTTTTCATAGATCATAAAAAATAAAGAACTTTCACCTTGTTATAAGATTTCTAGGAAGTGGAGAGTCAGGGAGAGGGATGTGTTCAACCAACAAAATAAAAGATCTGCTTCTAAGGAAGTCTTTACCTATGGCTGAATCAAACCAGACAATGCCTTGATTTCAGCATCTTTTTTCTGTCTTGGTGAATCTGATTAGCTTTATCTGAAAATTTGAATTCTTAAGTAATCTAAAGTTCCTGAATATAAAATTCTTAATCTGTAAGATTTTCAGTAAAGATTAATAGCCAATTTGGGTAATTTAGGCAAAAATATGTTGTTTTACATTTATTCCTTTTACCTGAAGACTCTTTCTTCACAGAAAATTAAAATTATTTTATTATTTATGGAGAATAATAAAAGATGTTAATTTAGGTTTCTTGCCAATGCAGCTCCCTTTTCACCCTTGGAAAATGTGATAGAGCTTGTGTGCTTACTAAGGTTTTTATGAAGATTTTTATGCCTTTATGCAGTGAAGTTTCAAAGGGCACATATTCAATATGCTTTACAGTAAATTAAAGACGACCTTATCACAGACAGCTCTTTTCCATAGGGTAAACTGTAGTTGAATTTGAAATTAAGACAAGTGAATAATTTTAAGTTTATAATACATTTCCTCATACTGTTCATTTGTCTTATGGCCCTATTTGATTTGGTCACTGTTGGTTATCTTAAAAAAAACTTTCTTAAAATTTTTCTTATAGATTTACTTATCTTTCCTAGAAATCATAATTTTTGACCCTGTTTTAAATTATTTTGTAAAAGGATGAAACTGAGAATTAATATTGCATAAGATTCTCCAGAGGAATATCAATCAATGTATAAAAATTTTTTAACTAAATAATTGAGGCTATTTTAGAAATGAGTACGTAAAATGTACCAGGCCATAAAACTTTTTAACATTCCGAAGTATGTTACATAAAACACTATTCTTATGGAAAATAATTGATGTTAAAGAAATTTCAAAATTGGTCATTAATTTGGGAAATACTAATTAAACAGTTAAACTGTTATTGCGGGATTTCTGAGGGTCTATAATATGTCAATGTGAAAATCATTTTCTGTACTTATTAGATCACAGAACCCTTTTGTGTGGAGTGAGATGGTGGTTTTCAAAACATGGTAAAAACAAACTAGTTTTGCATCAAGATAGATAGTAACAAAAGAAGAAAATAATGCAAACCTACTGGTCAATAACTTACATATATAACATATTTTACAACTCATCAAGCTTCTCACCTACTATACATTTATTTGATACAGTATTTGCCAAATAAAGTAACTAACCATCCCAGTGTACCTGGGATTGAAAAGGTTCCTGGGACTCAAGACTTTTCCTTGCAAAATTGTGACAATCGAGGAAAACCAGGACCATTGGTCATCATAATTACCTCGGAATCACAGAGATCTGGATTCAAATCCACTTTTGCCACACATTTTTTGTGAAGCTGGGTAAAATGAAAGTTTATAACCTGGAATCTTCACCTATAGAATTGGAATAAAAACAGTGGTGGCATAGGGTTTTTTAGACTTACTGGGAAACTGTCTACCTCAGGCTTGTCACAAAGAGAACAAGGTAAACATGAATATTTTTCCCTACCTTCCTTTTCAACGCTCTTGTAACATAGACAGAAGAAGCATTGCTCTCCTTATTTTACTAAACAACCTTAGACAATAATACTTTAGTTCACTTGCCCAAGGCAACAGAACAGTAAATAATAAAATCTGGACTTGAGCCTTGTCTTCTGATGCTAAATGCAATGCTTTCTAAACTATAGTCAACTAAATTCAAGTGTTAAAGAAAATTTCTGAAAGTCGCCATTCATGGGAAATATCGTCACACTTTAATAGTACTTAAATTTTAGTACTTTTTCTTTGAATATATTTTTTCAAAATTTTATTATGATGTAGATACTATGTTTAGAAAAAGGTGCCCGTCATTGTGATAACCCATGAAAATTTATACTGTAGCCTATTTATCCTCTTTTATGTTCATTAAATTTGAGCTATACACAGAACTTTTTTTCATTCTCCCCTTTTTTGGTGTTAGAATACTGTTTTCTGGTATCAGAGATCACAGTAATGTATTATTGATTGGTTTGGCTGATGACTATTGGACATAACAAACATGTCTAAAATGCATATTTCATTTTATTTTTGACAAATAAGTCTCAATAAATATACATTTAAAGCAAAGTAAAAAGCACATTTGGAAAATGGACTGTAAAAACGATTTCCCTGATTTTTTCTTAATGTGTGGCTATGACGTGATTGTGATATAGCACTGCAAAGCAAAATGGTCCTCCACTGAAATATAAATTTCCAACTCAGCTGAGGGATTTCACAGAACATAAACACAGGGGCAGAGATGAAGCATTTGTTTTCAAAGGAGATAGTTACATTGCCATCATGCTCCTTTCAAATTAATTTACATCTAGTTTAATGAATGGTAGAATAAAACTGAAATATTTAACTATCCAATCAAAAAATGTGAACATATTTGTTTAGAAAAATAAATGAGCCATACATGCAGAACATAAGCAAAAAGGAACTCTGGAAACAGAAGCTGTTGATATTCTCTCAACCCAGAATTGTGTTTCTATGATTGTGACTTTTAATTTAAAATGGTAATAGGCTTAAGACTTGATTAGTTTTGAGCATTTGAAAAAGGTTGAAAGGATTTTTACTCTTAATGTGTGCATGCTCTGAATCATATTCATAATATGCTACGTGGATCTGAATGCTTTCAATTCTTTCAAGCTAATCATATTTTTTTTAATGTAGTTAACCAACATTTGTAGACCTCAAACACATTTGGTAGACGGCTTTATAGCTTTCCCTTAGTAATGTGAGCAAGCTAAGTCAAAAATGTTGGCTTTTTGCTATGATCATAATTTCCATACAAACTGCAATATTTTAAAATATTTGACTTATTCAATTTAGCTTACATTTCTTTTTCAGAGACCTAGACATTATTGTAAGAATTATCTTGGCAATAAACTTATCACTGTATAAAAACAAATTAATCAATTTTTTTCCTTTAGAGTAGAAACAAACATACAAGTGAAGCAGATATATCTTGATGTGATATTTCTTATTTGGTTCAAGAAGTCTTTTATTAAGTAGATGTCCTGTATTGTCATCTCAGGTGAACAACAGAGTATGGGGAGCTTAGTGGTTTTACTGTTAGATGGCTTATCTTTTTTCCATGACAAGGAAGGCAAGGTTTTCAGTGGAATTTAGAGAAAGAGAAATGTGTGGAGGTCTCAGTATTTGGAGAAGACAAAGATGAAATTATCATTTTTGAGAGTGAAAGACCTGAAATACTAAGGAACTGAGTAGAATTATTTGGGAATGCTGAGTACCTGTTTTGGATTGGTGATCAAGAATTTAGCATGTCACAAAGTCAGTATGGTACAGTACTGCATTTTTTTCTCCCAAGCTTCGCCGTACTCTTAGTACCTACAGATTGAAAAACAATGACAGAAATTTTCTCAACGTTCAGTAAAACTTTAATGTCAAAATGTAGTTAATCATTAACTGACAGCATCATCCATTTGGCAAATGGTAGTATAGATACATGCACATACTACTACTTATCTAGACACTGACAATGCCTTGTACACATGTACCTAGGGCTTGGCCCTAGAACCTGTAATAATTCTGCTGTCCCACTGGGATCTGAATACCATAAGTTTGGAACCAATGTTATCATATACTATTGAAGCATGGAGGCATGGGGGCATAGAAATTATGAAGTTTTGTGGTTCTTCTACTTGATTACCAGAATCGCCTAGGGGAGCCTAAGTAGACACCCCTAAAACCACTGCAGATCAGTGTGAACATGACCAGGGTTGAATTAGAGACTAAGAATCCTGAAAGTAATCCATATTCCTTCTGCATTGACAAATGAATTTCTCATTGGACTGTAAAGAAATATTAATTGTTAGTCTTATAGTTTTGTATATCACCATAGCAGGCTATAAAGTGAGGCTGTAACAAGAAGCAGGTTAGAAAAAAAAAAAGAAAAATAAACACTGACACAATTATTATGAAAAGGTCTAACCTGAAACAGCTGAGATATTAACATAATAGAAAATGTTTAGAGTCAGGAGCACATTTCATAGTCCCCATGTTTTGTAATGCTTCTCTTCGATTCTTAGGTTTCTAGATGCAGAAATTGTGTTTAAATTCTTGGACTTTTAAATGGTATTGTGTGCTGAGCAACTGCAGTCTTGATTGCTGGGGTGCAGTGAGTTTCTGAATTTTCTCCCGTTCTTATGAAATGTGTGTGATCCTTTGCAGTATACTTCTGCTCTGACCTATGATGCCGTTCAAGTGATGACTGAAGCCTTCCGCAACCTAAGGAAGCAAAGAATTGAAATCTCCCGAAGGGGGAATGCAGGAGACTGTCTGGCAAACCCAGCAGTGCCCTGGGGACAAGGTGTAGAAATAGAAAGGGCCCTCAAACAGGTCAGTTACTCAAAATAATCGTTAACGTGACTTAATATGGCCATTAATGTTTTCTTCCTGCTAAATTAGTCATCCTTGTCTTATTCCTTGTGTCTAATATACAGGCAATGTTCTTTTCTAACAACACAAAGGTAGGTTGAAGAGAGAAACAAATATTATTGATGTAGTTTTCTTGACTTCATCTGGTTAAAGTAATCTGTACAGTGTATATGTTTGGTTGAAGTAAATATATAACTCTGCTGCTTTCCCATTTCTTCATTAGGTTCAGGTTGAAGGTCTCTCAGGAAATATAAAGTTTGACCAGAATGGAAAAAGAATAAACTATACAATTAACATCATGGAGCTCAAAACTAATGGGCCCCGGAAGGTAAATCCTTAGTGATTTAAAGGCAGTTCTATGTGAGGAGGTGAGTTAGCTAGCCTATGAGTTCACCCTTCCAGAGAATTCTGGAGATGTGTATTCACATAGAGTTTAACGACTTCCAGAAACAGATATATTTTGAAGTTTTTTTTTCCTAAAGTCTGTTTATTTCTGGTAAGTAACATTGAATTGTAATTTTAAAAATAATTATAGGTAGAGCTGTTGAACTTTAATTTTTTAGACTGAAGGGGAAGTCTTTAATGAAAAGAGAAAGAATTATTGTTGAAGGTTTACAGTTCAGAAGACAAAAAGTAGCTGGTGCAAATACACATGTAACTGTTCAATTCAACATCAACCTTTTAGCTGTTTAGGCTAAAATGTCATTATTTGGATTTTAATTACATTTCTATATGACCACTCCCAAACAATTACTCTTAGAAAATACAAAAAGTGAATATGAAGAGACAAGTCATTTTTAGGAATTTTTTTATACTTCCTTTTATTCCTGTTAGATTCACATATATAAAAGACATTTCTATTTAGAACAAGTCCAGTAAATGTGGTTCTAATTTCAGATTCAGACATGGCTTTGAAAATAATTAAATGCTTTGCTAATAGACAAGTCATTTATCCATACACCTGTCTGCTGTAACCTTTTCCAGATTGGCTACTGGAGTGAAGTGGACAAAATGGTTGTTACCCTTACTGAGCTCCCTTCTGGAAATGACACCTCTGGGCTTGAGAATAAGACTGTTGTTGTCACCACAATTTTGGTAATTTGCTACATATGCCATGTTTTACTTTGTATTTTCTTATGGCTAATATCTGCAGGAGTAGCTATTTATATTTTAGGAGAATAATATCTGTTTTGCTTCTTTTGCAATGTTTTAATCATTTATTTCATATTTACTCTGTTAAAAGGAATACACAAGATCTAGCTAAAGCATTGAAAATGTTCCCCATTTTCTTTAAGGAACGCTACAGTTTACACAGATAATTCCTACCCTGGTGCTTACATCGGTGAACAATTGGGGAATGTCTTGAAGAGTGTTCCTCATGTTTCTGCGAGTTATTCACCTTTCCATTCCCACCCGATACTGTGTAAATTCTTTCTTTCCCTTTGTTACATGATTTCATGATGATGTCAAGTTGTCTTTATTCTATCTAATGAAAGATGATCTCCTTAAAAATAAGGATTATTTCCCTTGTTTTTACTCCAAATTTCAGCACTGGTTGGCACATAGCTAGTACACAAAAAATGCATATTGAATGAATAAGGAAAAATTGAACTGGATCTTCAACACCCAGGCTTTGGATAGATGGAAGAGAGATGTGGATCAGCATGACAAGCTGTTGGTGAAATGAAATGGAGAAAATGGTGTTCGTTATAGGACAGAATTTTGTGACAAACTATTTTGTTGTATTTTCTTTTACAAAAAAAAATGGGCTTAGCAGTGAAGTTGTAAATTGGTGTGATTTATTCTCCTAACAATATTGAGAGCAGATATAGATAGATTGGTAAGGGATTTGAATTAAAACATTAGTAGGCAATTGAAAATCTCTTGATAAGTGCAAATTAGACATTTGAGGATTTTTGCCTTTATCATGCCATTGAGAGGAACTATCTCACTGAGACCCCAAATATCCTCAGTGCCACTTTCCAATGGAGAATATTGGACTGTGTTGATTCATTTTTTCTTGCTTCCTTTTTCTTATGTTTACAGGGGGAAGCTACTCTCTAGCTATCCTTGTAGCATCATTCTAGGATATTGTATCTCACAGATGAAGTGAGACCTGAAGCCTGCGGGGGTAGAATCAGTACATCATCATGACAATGATCCTGTCAGTTTGTGTATCACTGACCATGAACCTGATTTCCACATGAACCTTATCTTTGGGACAGCAGTGACACAGGGTTTTGGGTGAATGCTGGTTTTGGGATTGGCCTAACCTTAATCAAGGATAAGGGTGTGGTGAATCCAAACTTGAATAAAATAGGTTTTGAGCAGTAATATTTTGCTCTAAGTCCTAGCAGTGACAAACATGGCTAGAGAACATACAAAGAGTTTGTGGTTTTGAGTATCTTGTTAACTCAGTATGCTTGCATACAAGCCGTCTTAATGAATTATAGTGATAGACATTCCGAGGCTTTCTGGGGGGAAGCATTATGCTTAAATTATTCCTCTACTGTTGTGTGTTCACCATCTATATTCTTCATTCACTCTGGCTAATGGGTAATAATTAAACCAGAAGATTTGATTCAATGAGAGTACATAATTAACACAGATATTTTAATCAGCTAAAGCAAAGTCTTTTCATATAGGAATCTCCGTATGTTATGATGAAGAAAAATCATGAAATGCTTGAAGGCAATGAGCGCTATGAGGGCTACTGTGTTGACCTGGCTGCAGAAATCGCCAAACATTGTGGGTTCAAGTACAAGTTGACAATTGTTGGTGATGGCAAGTATGGGGCCAGGGATGCAGACACGAAAATTTGGAATGGGATGGTTGGAGAACTTGTATATGGGGTAAGTATAGCTCTTCTCATAGATAAAGTCATTCAATTTGAATTGTTGTTGACAGACTGCTTCCTCTCCCTGTGAAGTATCTATATCTGAGGTTGTTGATTTCCCACATTACTCTAGAAACATTATCTTGTTGATTTGTGAACATCTGAAAGATTAAGATTGAAGCCAGAAGTAGACATGTAGATTAACTGAGACAAGCATTTCATCTCTCTTGAAGCATATGGGCCATATGTATTGTCAAAAGGCTGCAAATGCATGGATGCAGTGCAGATGTGTAATGATCATAGTCAAGCCAGCTGGGTATACTGTGTATTCATAAAGAGGAGGGGCATTCGGGGAATAATTCCTTTTTGTTTATCCTTTACTGGGACTATACCAAGGAAAAAATTATTGTCATTTTTCTGATTTCCTCTCCTTTTTCTTTGATCCAGTGACATAACCACGATTCCTTTTTCACCATGACTCCAGGTACTATTACTTTCCTTTTTTTCCCTTACAGAAAGCTGATATTGCAATTGCTCCATTAACTATTACCCTTGTGAGAGAAGAGGTGATTGACTTCTCAAAGCCCTTCATGAGCCTCGGGATATCTATCATGATCAAGAAGCCTCAGAAGTCCAAACCAGGAGTGTTTTCCTTTCTTGATCCTTTAGCCTATGAGATCTGGATGTGCATTGTTTTTGCCTACATTGGGGTCAGTGTAGTTTTATTCCTGGTCAGCAGATTTAGCCCCTACGAGTGGCACACTGAGGAGTTTGAAGATGGAAGAGAAACACAAAGTAGTGAATCAACTAATGAATTTGGGATTTTTAATAGTCTCTGGTTTTCCTTGGGTGCCTTTATGCAGCAAGGATGCGATATTTCGCCAAGGTTGGTTACTCACCTGCTTCAACTTTGTGCATTTCAGGTCTCAAGTGGACATTCATGGTGTTTATGGATTCACCCTAAAGAAGTTACCAGCTGCCGACTTCCTGTCCAAGCAGTTTAAGACTCTTGAAGGACATCCTCTTAGCTTCGGCATAAGTCTGTGAAATATTTGAACAATGTTCTTTGAATGTTGCTCATCTATTTCTCTGGTGAAATTATACACACCATGAAGAGGCTATAAAATGCATAAGGTTCCTATCATTCCATGCCTTCTTGGAGGGGTACCGTGTTTTTGCTGCATATTCTCATTTTACAGTCATCTGTGTGTTGATCCACAGACCTGTATATGGGAAAATGGGCAACATTATTTATTAACTGCAAAGTAACACCTTGTTAGATAAAACTTCGTTGGCACACATCTCATCTCTTTTATTTTCCCATCATTAGTTCATGGAAATGGTATGGGAGAGATATTATAAAATTTATTTTTTTTCTAGGTGAGGTTGCTGGATTAATATAATAGCATATTTTCAACTACCCACAAATGCCTGGAAGGGACTAATCATTCATTAAAAAACCTGTCCATATCGAATGGTAATACACACACACATGGAATAAACTCACCTACCTTTAATCTCATTATGATATGTTAAATCCCTGCACTAGAATACCTAATTATAATGAATCTACCACAAAGTACCCATTGATTTTATTCATGTTGCACGTATGAATAAGAATGATAGCCATGTTTGGCTCTTCAGAGGAATAAATCATGATTTTTCTAGTGTGATTAACATTTTAAGTCAAAATGATTATCACTCTACTGGCACATTTTAATTTGGGCTCTATTACCCTTCTTCGATTTTACAGGATATCTTAATAACTAGTGGAGCGGGTGCCTTTCATGATACAATTTTATTATATTGTAAATTTTTAAAATCACTTTTGAGAATAACAAGTGATTAATTTAAGAAAACTGTATGAGAAGCTCAAAGATTTGCATCTTTTGCAATCTTTTTAGTATATTTCACTGAGTAAGATAAAGGAAATACATCATGTAGCCAGAAATTATCAGTAGCTTACTTCTCTGATAGTAGGTAATTATAGTGGGAATGATAAAAAAAAATTACATTTTTATGAATTATACAGATTTTAAAAATTTCAGTTCCACCAGATTCCCTGTGACTTCCCTGTGGGACTTCAGTGAATTAGAAATATGCCAATGGAATTTGCACAGCATGACATATGTGTGTATATATATGTGTATATATATATATATATATATATATATATATATATATATATACACACACATTTTTTTTATCTCTGACAAAATATATAAGATTCATAGTTTTATCATCTCTGTATTTAGTTTATTTGATCTAAGTTAAAGATATACAGAGAAGTTTCTAATAATTTGGAGGCAAATACTAACCAAATTGGGGTCTCGGAGAACATTCTGACCCATAAAATGATAAAGAAGTGGTTCTCCCTTTGGTAAGAAGAACAATGAAGTATGTTACCCTAGTTCTGAAATGTAAGGCAATAATATCCTGTGCTATGTCTTTTGGATAGTAGGGAGAAGTGTATGTGGGTTCATTATGAAGTAGGATGTGTCAGCCCAGTCTGGCCTGGGTTCCAGTAGATGCCTGCGCCTGGGCATGATGGCACTGCAGGTAGTTGTTTAGGTATCCAGTGTTTGTCAGGGAGTGGGAAACCTATTTGCACACAGGGACTGGAGCACAAGGCATATCAGCAATCTGTATTATCCCAGAGTCCACCATGACATATAGATGACTTCTCCTTTTCATCAAGGCTGCATCTAAATTAAGATGTTTTTTCTGTGCTTTTGATTTCATTCATGAGTCATGACACTACAATTTCACATGTAGTAACTTTTATTTCCTGGTAGGATAAACAGATTTTTAGATAGCATATTTTTCCTTGTTATTGATTGGTATTTTTTCATTCAGAATGTATTTGATACAAATTTATTTTATTAAAACATTTGAGGTACATATCTTTCACTTATGCTATATATGAATTTTAAAATTCAACATAATACATTGGAAAAGTTAATGATTTTTAATGAACAAAACTATCATTTTTTAAGAATGCAATGATGGTTACCCTAGTTGAGAAGAATACAGTAGCTTATTATCATTTTTAAAAAGCATGACATCCACAGATCACTTTAGAAATGTCTTTAAATATTAAAAAAATTATGATTCTTTTCCAAGTAAAATATGATATGAAACTATATTATTAATGTTAATAGGACACATTTAAGTTGTAATCTAGAGTTATTTATTAAATTAAGTGATTTCTCATTTTTCTGAAATTAAGTTTAGAATATCTTATCTATAAGACATGGTCTCATGAAGAATAGAATCACAGAAATTATGAGAGCAATATGCTGTAAAGGTTATTTTTATTGTCCTGTTTGCTTCTGGATTGTCCCCAATGACCCTAAAGGAATCAAATGAATATAAAAACATATATCATTTAAAAAATGATTTAGTAGGGATTAAAAAGAAATAAGAGCATATGCACATTTCTTTATTCCTTTAGTGCTGATGCTGATGGGCGAAAGTTTTACTTTTAATTGTAGAAGTAATTTTTGTCTGTCACCATAAAATAATATTGAATTTCCTTCTCTGCATAATTTCTCAGGAACTCTTTGAGAAACATGAATTGATACTTTAAAAATACTTAAAAGTAAATAATAAATAGTTGAAGTACTTTTCACCTTTGAATTATTTATAAGTCCAATAAAAATTTTTAGATATCATGTACATTTTAAATCAGTTGACATATTAAATCTGATATAAGGACTGGAATAGAGGACAACTTACATCTAACTTTCCTTAATTTTTACAACTGGAATAGAATGACACAAAAATGATTCTTAAACGTGTCATAAATTAATACGCAATATGTAGAGTCAAAAGCAATTACCATGTAATCAGCTTTTGTTTTAAGGGATTTGAGCAGGCAGGTACTGAATCTGCGCTCTTAAATATATGATATGTGTCATATAACTATACTTCCCATTGATATTGGATAAATAGTGAACATTTTGAGAGTGATTTTGTCTACATAAGGCATTTTTCAAATGTAAAATATATTTAATATCCTTTTCAGAATATATGTGAGAAGTGTTTAACTTTTTCCATCCTTTCATATTTATTTTTTTGTATTTCATACAGACTTTGTGATAAAGTCCCTTAATTATATTCTTTTTGTTATTTCTTGCTATTTTTCTCTCTCTATCTCCTTTATTTTAGCAACTGATGTTTTTATATCAAAAAACTTTTCATTTAAGTTAGCTTCTCTCCTTTCTTAACTGCTTGAGTGGTTTATTCTACAAATATTTCCCAAGTGTTTGATCTAGAATATGTTTCATCAAAAGATTTATTTCTTACTGTTAATTGTCAGAAACTTTAGATCACAAATTGCCAATCATGATCTAAATTTTTAGAACTATCACTTGTTCACACTAGCAAGTCTAATTGTTAGACATAGTAGAGTTATTGACAACAGAGAAACGGTTAGTTTTATTGGTTTGTCAATATCACTTAAATACTTAGTTACGTGCAGAATCCCATCAAATCTTTCAAAATAATACAGTATATATCTTTTTCTATATCTCTATACCTGTATTCCTCTACTTCAGGTTTTAAAGTAAATTATTGGGTATCTATTAAGCTTTTAAAAACTATTTTATGTAAGAATTTGTAGTCAGAAAAATATTGTTATTTTATTATACATCAAACTAGAAATTTATGTCTTCACAAACTTTTAAATGTCTAATTTGTTTTCTTTGAGTTTTATTTTTTTTTGAGCAGGACACATAAAGGAACAGGGTCATAGCCATCCATACTCTGAAGCCATCTGATTTTTATTCATTAATAGTTATATTTTGTGCGGTATCTTTGCTTGTAGCATTATTTTTTCCTCATTTTTCTCTCCTGTACTGTATCTAATACCTATGTTTTACATACACAAAATTAACAAAATTTGAGGCCTTTTTTGTTTTGGAAATTCACTGATTGAATTAAAGGGAGGATTTCTTTGGTGTTTAAAGTTACATCTGTGGAGTATGCTTTTTTTAATTTTTGATTTTGTTCATAAATGTTGTTATGAGGTTTGCTGGTGATATTACATTCTCTTGTTTATGTTTACTTACATCATGAGTGGATAAACTTTTATGAGTATTTGTAAATTTCTTGAAATTGCTTTCTTATGGGATTCATGTCATAAACTATTTGGGCATTACAATTATGAAAGTATTCCAGAAATCAGAAGTTTTGACCTGTGTGTATGTTATTAAATTTAGCTACTCTGTACTCCTTGCCCAAAATGTTTAATGATTTCCAGTTTCATTAACTAGTAGATACATTGAAAAATATAAAATTAAATATTCCCCTATAAGTCAATATTTGCATAATACTGCTAACTTGTTTTTTTATTAGGTCATTCATTTCACTTTACAAATCCATTTCATACTTGTTATTAGATCCCTCTCTGGGCGCATTGTTGGAGGTGTGTGGTGGTTCTTTACCCTGATCATAATCTCCTCCTACACGGCTAACTTAGCTGCCTTCCTGACTGTAGAGAGGATGGTGTCTCCCATCGAAAGTGCTGAGGATCTTTCTAAGCAAACAGAAATTGCTTATGGAACATTAGACTCTGGCTCCACTAAAGAGTTTTTCAGGGTAAGAGATTCTGCTTTGTAGTTTCTGATTTTGTTCCTGAAATTTAACCTATTTAAACTTTGTTTCCCTCCCATAGTCAATTCCAAGGTACTATGTGAAAGCACCCCTAATTCTATTTCTTTTCTTGACTTTGTCTCTGTTTCTGACCCTTCCCTATCCTGATACTTCGGTCCAGCTCTAGTTTCTGATTCCTGACTCCTTAGGAGAAAAATCACAATGTTGCAATGAAATCTGTTTTACAAAAATTGATTGTCCTTTTGGAACAAAATTGAAGCAAAGTATAGTAGTTAAGTTTAGATTATTATGCTTTCAGCAAAACATCTTATTTTTATTTGATTTTAAATAAATATGACTGCATGTATCTTACCTAGTTTATAATTGAAAAACTCACATTCAAACCAATTATGTTAATTATGTGTGAGGAAACAGACTATGTTCATATGTGTCGATTCTGAATTTTCTGTGCAAAGCTTCCAAGGAAAAGCCAACAAAGGCTCTCCACTTCCTAACTTTTAAAATATGTAGTATATTTATACTGTGTCTATTAGATGTAGGTTACTTTTTTCTTTTAACTTTTGTTCTTATGCTCTGTTTATAGGATAAGCCCAAGGACCTGATGTTGGCATAATTTTCTTTCTTTCTACTATTGTGTGTATAAAACAACTCTTTCTATGAAAATGTTTAAATACAGCTGATTAACTTAGGTCTGAAGCCAATATATGTGACATATAATGGTCTCTGATAATCTACAAATATATTCGAATATATCTGAGTTTCAGTGAAATCTAGTCCAGCTTATTCCGGAATTAGGATTAGGACCTTCAAATGGCCATCAAAATTTGAAGACTATCTCATGCTACATTACCTCTGATCTCTTTTCTGAATAACTTCACTTCAGCTGAAGATACTATGGGAGAAAGGGTTCTGGGAGTGGGGGTGGTAGAACCATGGCTAATAACAGATAGTAACTTGGGTGTATGTGAAGAGTCCAGGACCTTGATGAATTAATTAGGTACCTCAATATAAGTGCAAAAATGTGGACCATCAGCAGCTTTTTTTACTTTAATGCAGATTTTAGAATGAATCTTGTAATGTAGATTTCTTACTAATGAAAATGTATTATCATTTCTAAACATATATGCAATATGTGTATGAATACTCGGTTTAAAAATGTATGTTCCTCAATTAGAAGTGCATTTGAAAGCATTTTTAATATTTGTATGCAGTGTAGCTTGCTTTTATCTTATTTGGAAAAATGAGGTGCTCCCTCTTGAAGTAAATGAGATCTATGAGAATGATGCAGATGCCTGTTATAACAGGATTTACTTGGTGCTACTTATGTTGATTAAAATAATCTTAATTATTTTCAGACTCTCTCTTCCAGTTGAGCATGCATCTATGGAGAGTTTCAGTTATTACCTTGTTTGGACAGTAGTAGTGTCAGCTACTTTTCACTACTACACATTCACATTCACAAAGCTTTTCAGTATATCTTCACTGAGTCAATCATAGAAACACGTGTCTTAATCACCAAGGTGCCAGAATTATATGGCCAGTGTATTCACATTCCCTAGTAGACAAGACAAGAAAGCTAGTTGAGTTTGGGAAAAGAATGTTGCTACTCTTTTGTTTCAGTGCACTAACTTCATGGAGCCCATTTGTTCCAATATGCAATCGTGGAGGTTGTATAAGGTTGTGGAGCTTTTCTTCCCTAGAGTAATAGAGAAGTGATGTTGGATAGTTAGGCAAATTGATGACTTCTATCTATCAGTATAGCTCCCCAAAGAAGTTTCTTATCCATTACCTCTTTTAATCTAACAATATTTCTGTCTGATAGTCAGGGCAATGATTTTTGTTTGATATCTGTGCATTATTAAACAGAAGCTCAGATATTTTGGGGTATTTGATCACATTCATGCAACTAATAAGTATGCTGAGGTCTTTTCCTCCTAGCCAGGGTTCTTTCCATACACTATTTTTCCTCGTGCAGCAAAATCTCTGGATTTACTTCACTGCCTTCATGCTCTGTTCTTGGTTACATCCACACTTGTTTGTGTAATGCTAGAGACACGGTTGAAACCCAAGCAAGTCCTCACAGTTCCTCTCAAACTATCTCCAAAAGGAACTGTTGATGAAATGACATTGGCTAGGTCTCAGTGCATATAATGTTGTAGTGAGCGTCTCCTTATCTAGAGAAAGAAGAGTGTGGGCTCAAACTTGTTTAAAATCACATTATTCTGTTTGTAACAAAAAAGAGAAGCCAATAAAACAGCATGCATCACCAAAGAGAATAGGAACTGTATATGTTAATTATTTCATTGAAATATATGACACGGTTGCAATTTGGGAAATTATGTATATAAAAGTTTTGTTTCTTCAAGTTGAATTAAATAAAAATGTTGCTAGTTCATGAGTAATTTTGAGCAATTTTTCTAACTGTATTACAATAATATTTGATAATTAGATGCCATGATGATAATAGTAAGGAAAATATTATTTTTGCTTCTGGTTCTCAAAATGTTTTCTAGGATACTATGGCTTTCCAACTGTATCCATCCAGTATCATACCTTTCACACAGAGTTACTGAATTAGTATAGGGAAATTGAATAACAGATTCCCTTTGAGTCAATAACTTTTTTCATAGAATGTTGTATAAAATATTGAACAAAATGAAGCCAATTTAGAGACATTTTAAAGACAAAAATATTTGATTTTCATTAATATTGTTTCCTTAAATCATAGGGTCAACTGTAATATGTCTATTGGCTGTAGTGTGGTTGAATTACTGACTTTCTGTGGAAAAATGTGGCAAGGGAAATTCTTGTTTCTATTCCTAAAATTAACATTCACCACAGGTCTTGGGTTCATCCTCTCTCAACTTTCCTTTGGTCCTAAGGAATTTTGGGGCTTCTGTGTAAGGTAGATACAGAACAGAGTGAAAGCTGACAGACTGATTATTATGGTGCCCAGCCTGACCAGGAAAGGGTTATGGGTGAAGTGGGCTAAAGCCAGGCTGAAAACATGTATTGCTTACTTTGTTCTCTGCCCATTCATTATGCTTACTTTTGGAGCCAAGACCTAGTAAAATAGCAGATTACACATGCAATAATACACTTTTACCACTTGCTAATCTTTAAAGTTCTAACATTTATCTTCATGTTTTGTAATGTGGCTTAATTTGCCTTTAGTGATAGCTTTTTCCTTTTTATACTCTTTTATAACTAGGAATTTTATTAGTTATATTATTGTTAAATTTTCTGCTATCACTGAGTTTATCAAGTCAACGGTTGGTTTTCGTCATAGCCAGAGATTTGGATTTAGCATCGCAGACATGGATTTGAGAAGTTAGGTCATTGTCTACATTTCAAATAATAACTAACTGAAAGATAAAAAATATGTTGAGACCATTTAGAAATTAATGGCCAATTCTAAAATAGAATTCAGAATTTGGAACTCCTAGTCTTTTGTCTCAATGTTAATTGTTTCATAAAAGTATATTCTTGTTGAGATAAAAGCACTTCATATAAATTTATAAGATGACTATTTTATTTAATAGTTAGGGATCTGTTTTGTACTGACATGATGTTTTTCTTTCCGTTAAAGTCTAAGATATTTTCAGATTTCAGGTAAATAATAGCAAACCATATTATATTAATATTACTTTAGTAAAGTCAGTGAGTATGTAATTGTTGGAGAAGTTCAATTTAAGCTGCAGATTTTCTAATTTAAAATCTATACTTTTCTTCAGTGATGATCATTAAACGAAACATTCATGAAATATTTACTTTGTTTTGCTTGAAAGAGAGAGTAAATGGAGAACAATCTTGTAACCACCAAGAGATGTGAGGAAAATTAGTCTATGTCTTCATTTTCTGCAGTTTTCTGTTTATGGAACCCATGCACATCCTTGTACAGAGTGAATGATAAAGTCTGAATCATTTTGGAGTTACTGATCATCCCTAATTATAGTGCCACTGTAGCATACCTATAATTAAGAGAGAATTAGCCTCTCAATTATAAGCCACTATTTTTAGAGCTTCACATTTTAATAATTTCTTATCTCAATAAAATAGGACAGATCTTGAATTAGATGACTTTGTGTAGAAAATGATTTTATAGGACCCATATGCAGTATGTTACTACAGAAACTTTGATTTTTAAGGACAGGAATGGTTTTCTTATCTAAACCTATCATTGGCCTGTCAAACCACAAAGCACAATTATTAACTTGCAGATAGGAAGTAACTCTTCATGCCTGTGCTGTCTCCCACACTGCAATCTGTTCCTTCTGGTTGTCTCCTCTGGGAGGATGAAGGACACAGATTATTCTCTAAATATATGGTCTACTTTGTTGATAATTTTGGAAGAAAAAAATTCTAAACATTGCATTGCCAAAATAAAGGTATTTGCCTTCTTGTTTAATGCAGTTTGTTCCATCTGCAAAAGATAAATTTAGTCTGATAATAAACCATGAGACTCTACTATTATTGCTCAGCATTGTAGACTTTTTATAGTTTAGAAATAGTATAAATAATGGATAACTAGTATTAATGCTGCTGTTACTTACCAGTGAAATAATTAGTTTGAAATTTTCCATATGCATACATTGTCTACTATATAATCAATATTACAAGAGAATTAAAATAATTGAGAGTATTTTTTTAAAGATGTTAACCTTTTTTCAACTCTCTCTACGGCATACAATACACTTATTTATATTTACATATGAAAACGTTCCTGAAAAGTAATTGCAAATAAAAATGGCCTAGCCATTATGACACCTCTTCTATGGAACTGTATTAATTGCTATTTCATTAAAGTCACATTTAAGTCAGTTATTGTTTGTGTTTGGTAATAATACAGCATGATTTCTTTATTGCCATGTTATAAATAATGGATTTCACAAATTTGTCATTCCCCGTACTTATTTTATTATTCCTGATATTGCTAATGATTTATCTGCCACAATTGCCTCTATTGCCTATTCCTAGGAAGGCAGAAATATGTATGTCTATGATACATATGTATATATCTATTTATCAATATATAATTATCTTTCAAATCTTTTGGAAATAAAATGAGTGTAGCCATTTGTGTCTCTATATATGCAGAACGTTACTCATATCGAAATAGACCCTTCATAGATCTGTCACCAATGCTTAAATATTTAAATAGTTTCAAAAATAGTAGGTATTAAATAAATGCTGAATGTGAATAAATAAGGAAAAAATAGCATCGTATACATATGTTGCAAGTCACTCATGCATGGTTAGTCATTTATTACAAATTTTCCTTCCTCAGTTTTTTGGGGGCTTGATTATAGCAGAACAATCTGCACAGCTGACAATTCTTGCATGCCCAATCCTTCTCTAGATGATCCAGGAGATGTTAAAATCATTTCCTCTCTGGTTGGCAGTTTTTCTTTCTCTGACATTTTAATTTTTTCTCACCATTCCACAGAACATCTGAGAAAGCACTGAATTGAAAAAGCATCCTAAATGTATTTACGAATACATTTAGCCTAAGTTGCCTTCAGTAGAACCCATGATCTCTGATTTCAGCTAACGTTAGCTGGGTTAACAATACAGGAAGGGTCAAAATGTTTCCTTTAAAACGTATTGCCCAGTTTAAGGACCGTGCAGCTCATTCAGTAGTTCTTAAATTTCATAGGAAGAGAAAAATAAGGAGATGTAGAAGAAGCCATAATGAATCATGTGTTTTTGGTGATCCAATGCTAAGGAAGGTGTATGTCCCCTTGTTGAATTGTAATTATTGTGCAAAGTGGCAGCTTTTTCCAGGGTACATGTGTTATTTTGGTCATTCTCTTTCCATAAGTATTCTTTGCCAATGTCAATGTGCTCTGTAACCATGCAATTGTGTCTTTTAAAGACCACTCTTGCCATACACTCGCTAAATAATTTGACTAATAAGATTACAGGAAGCTTTCTATTATTGTCCATACCAAAGAGAAAGCATTCCTTTTCATACCAATAGCAGATCATGAGAACGATTAATCTAGAAGGAAAGGTTAAAACAATACAGAAGTGATTTGGGATTAGTCTCTCATTTCAAAACCTTTCTAAAATTCCTGTTTAAATGCTTCAGAGAGAATATTAATTTCAGAATAAATTGTACAGGTGCTTTAAATGCCTTAGTTTTCAATTCACTTTATTATTGTATTTAAGTAAAAGAATGATCTCTGCCTACCTCTGTTGGATCTTTCACACTGGTTGCCATGGTAATAAACATGGTCCCAGAGCTCTATAGAGAAGAGAATAGAATTGTTCAATTATTTAAATATATTGGGACCAAATCTCAACTAGATATAAGTATTATCGACAAAATTTTGAACATTCTTCAATTAGACTTTTGATATTTGAAGGAAAATTTGATGGCTCATGCCTGTAATCCCAACACTTTGGGAGGCCAAGGCAGGCAGATCTCGAGGTCAAGAGATTGAGACCATCCTGGCCAACATGGTGAAAGCCCATCACTACTAAAAATACAAAAATTAGCTGAGCGTGACGGCACGTGCCCAGCTACTCGGGAGGCTGAGGCAGGACAATAGCTTGAACCTGGGAGGTGGAGGTTGCAGTGAGCCGGGATCACGCCACTGCACTCCAGCCGGGCAACAGAGTGAGGCTCTGTCTCAAAAAAAAAAAGAAAATTTGATATTAAAGTAATTTATATTTTGCATTTCTAGCAGACAATTTTGCTCTGACTCCTACTAAGTGATTAGCCAAAGCAAAGAAATTGGTAAAGGTGGCTGCTATTTTCATAGGGAAATGATCTTTTGTTTGTTTCTTCAAACAGGGCCTCACCCTGTCACCCAGGCTGCAGTGCAGTGGCATGGTAATGGCTCGCTGCAACCTCAACCTCCTGGCTTGAACTGATCCTCCTGAGTAGCTGGGACCACAAGTGTTCACCACCATGCTCAGCTAGTTTCTAAATTTTTTGTAGAAACGAGATCTCCCTATGTTGCCCAGGCTGGTCTCGAGCTCCTGGGCTCAAGTGATCCTCCCACCCCGGCCTCCCAGAATGCAGGTATTACAGGCATGAGCCACCTCACCCAGCCCAAAAATGAAATTTTAAAAATAAAATGGACATTGGACAAATCAAGCAATGACAAATATTATCAAAGTTCCAAAATATGCTATTTCATCGTGTCTTTAAAGGAACAAAGATCTTATCATAGTAGAGGATGTTTTATAGATTTTAAAATTTATAGTATCTCTCTCAGATTTTTTAGTCTATGTTGCTTCTTTAACAATATTGAGTAGAATTAAAAGTCTCATATTAGCATTAAAATAAAACAAACAAAATTAGAGGCTTATATGAATATTTGCTTATATGAATTATATGCTTTTCAAAATGAAATAGCAACCATTAAAATGACTGCAGACATTTTACTGTGGCTAGCATCTGATGATACAAATATGAAATATATAAGATTACCTTTTCTTAACTGTGTATAAAAATTATGAAGTCATTGTCCTATATAATTTTGCTCCAAATACTTTTCTGACTAGTCTTTCATTCCTGACATAGCAAAAAGAATGCAGACTTAAGCTAAATCCTTTTATAAGGCAGACAGTGACTATTGATGGAACAACTTTGATCTTTTTATCAGAAAGATGGAGATCAGAGTCTTCAAACATTTATTTCAGGATACAGATACACTTTCCATCTATGGCTTAGTAATATGATATTTGAGGGTAAGAAATGTAGAAAGTATCGTGGTCCTTGACTTACCAAAGGGATTTATACTGATACTACAAGGGGCCCATTCTGTCTTATGTATATTAGTGGGATTTTCCTGGGTACTCTTTGAATTTGCAGCCATTTTTCCTTTTATGTTACTTCCTGCGTTCCAGGGTTTTTGTACATTTCCTTATTTTGAAATCAAATTCAGTGCTGTTTTTTTTTCATAGTCAAATTTTCTTAAGATTGTTAAAATCTTCCTTCTTTCCTTCCTTCCTCCCTCCTTCCCCCGCTTCCTCCCCCCACCCTTCCTTCCTTCCTTCCTTCCTTCTTTCGTTCTTTTTTGTAACCTCAAAATATTGAAACACCACTCTTTAGCTTGGCAGTGGGACATATAGAGATATTTCCTAAAGCAATGGTAGCTGGTTTATAGAGCACAGCACCAATGGTCTAGTAGTGTTCCTAGTTTCCAAAAAACCAACTGTGCTGGCCTTAAAATTTGTTTATTTATAATGAAAAAGAATATCATAGACTTTTAAATTAGGATAGTTTGCTAACACAACCAATTTTTCTCATAATTATTTTCACTTTTTAATTGCATAAACACACACACATATACACAAACATTGAAAATGCCCTATTTCTGAATGCATGTTGTTGAGGTTGGATCAAGATGCTGAATTAAAGTATTTTAAAAGCCAACTCTCACATTGCAGATAAGTTCCTTCTCTGTGGTAATCTCTAATGTCCGTATCATCTGCAAACACAGAAGTTAGATTACAAATTAGTTTCCAAATTCTGTTCATTTTAGAGATATCATAACATTTATTGAGTTAATCATCCAAACAATTCTTGAATGTACCTTATGAATTCGTTAAGAGTCACTATTTTTATTGACAATCTATTCTGTTTTGTTTTCATTGTTATGGTCTTTAGAAAGTTCTTATAAGATCAAAACTTGTATCCTAAGTATTTTCATTTATTTGTCTTAATTCTGACTTAAGTAATTGCTTTCTTTTGCATACTATAGATACATCAAATATATGGAGAGAACTATCATCTCTTTCATAACTTTTCTCATCACTAGCCTAAAAGTTCTGAATTCCCTCAACTATTAATTATTATATTTTCAAACCCTTGTTATGGTTTTCATATATTTTAATTGCAAGTTTGTCCATGTTAGTCTTACAGTGCGGTATCTAGATCTGGGGTCTGATTTGATCTACTTATAGAAGATCTTTTTAATTTTTTTAATAGATTTTGGGGGAACAGGTGGTGTTTGGTTACATGAATCAGTTCTTTAGTGGTGATTTCTGAGGATCTTGACCTGAATCCAAAAATTAAGATTTCAGACCACAATTTCAATCTGAACATTCATGTTCTTCAGGCGGCCCAGTGTTTACATGGAGAAAAAAAAAAAGGCTCTAATGAAATCATGTATTCTTCAGTTACTACAATCACACCATTGTCTATTACTCTATTGCTATTTATTTTGCTTACTTATATATCCTCCCTGGCCTTTAAAGTATTTGAAATTAGAATTCTGTTATCTAGACTCTATAATTTCATTTAAAATCTTTAAGTTTATTAGCTTTTTGGTAACTGCATGGAATTAATTGCTTGCCTTAATTTGAAGTTTACTGAAAACCTGGTTGATTTTAATGAATTGTGGTAAGCCTCATGTATTCCATTCTATGAATATGAACTGATTGAAGCTACATGCCAGATTTTGCATTCACTCCTGTTTAATTTTACATTAGTTTTTTCTTTTTTTTTTTTTTTTTGCTCATTGTCCTAATCTCATAACATTGAAATACTGGTTCTATCATATACAGTAGTAATATCTGCAAATTTGAAATATTTGTCATGTATATCTTCATCCAAATTGTTGACTGAAATACTAGACATAATGGAAATGAGTATATAATCAGTGGTATAACAACAGCTTCTGTTGAAATCAGCATTTGTATATGAAGAAATAATAATCAATGTTCTTTAAATATGATTGATATTTTCATCACAAACTCACCTAATTTTGATAAAGCTAATTTTCTACCTAAAGCACAAAAATATGATATACTTTTCAAGTGTTTTGATCGTAATCAAGATGTTCATGATAGATCTTGAATGTGCCAATTGAATAACACTATTAAAAATAACACTATTAAAAAATGAAAGACAGGGTCATAGGGGTATCACTTGCTCTTCCTCTACATTATCAGTTCACATTGTATGCATATATGTGCACGTATAGTTAATACATAAGGTATAATGAGTAGGCATTCCATTAATGATATAATTTACCATTCGTAAGGTAATGAGAACATATGGAAATAACATTTGCATTGACAACTTTAAAGTCATTGTTTTTTAAGCATAAAAATTACCAAAAAGATATGATTCTATGACTAGTACAAGCATTAACATGTGATATGGCTAGCCTTTGGGTCACTACCCAAATCTCACCTTGAATTGCAATCCCTATAATCCCCATAATCCCCATGTGTCAAGGAAGAGACCAAGTGGAGGAAACTGATTCATGGAGGCAGTTTTCCCCATGCTGTTCTTGTGATAGTGACTGAGTTCTCATGAGATCTGATGGTTTTATAAGTGGCTCTTACCCTTTGCTCCATACTTCTTCCCGCCACCTTGTGAAGAAGGTGCCTTGCTTCCCTTTTGACTTTCACCACAATTTTAAGTTAAATGAGTCCTCTCCAGCCATGCTGAACTGTGAGAGAATTAAACTTCTTCCCTTTATAAATTACGCAGTCTTGTCCAGTTCTTTGTAACAGTATGAAAACGAACTTATATGACATGACTCTAGTTTTATCACATTTGAGAGTCATTTCAAAATGCCAAAGAGAGCTCTGAGACCTAGCTTTACTTCTGGTGGATTAAAATGCTGCGACAGCCTCTAATTTACTCAAGCCTCAGTTTACTTATAAATTATATGTAGATATTTACTGGATTGCTCTAAGTTTTATAATATTGTTAAGTGACTTTTTTATTTTTACCAAAACATTTTTAATCTAAACTCTATGTTGAGGATTTTTATGCTTTAGTGTATATACACATCTATTGAAAATTTGGATATCCAGGTGTTATTCCTGGTTCTTCTATGGGCTAATGAGCTATGCTAACTTAGGAAAGGTAATCTTTTTGAATCTTGATTCTATAATAAAGGGCTTAGATTGTAAAATTTTTAGATTTTTAAGATTCATTCTAGTACTAATCATTTGAAAACCATAAACTGTTAAAAATACTTATAGTTGACCAGGCACGGTGGCTCATGCCTGTAATCTCAGCACTTTGGGAGGCCAAGGCAGGTGGATCACGAGGTCAGGAGTTCAACAGCAGCCTGGCCAACATGATGAAACCCCATCTCTACTAAAAATACAAAAAATAAATAGCCGGGTGTGGTGATGGGCGCCTGTAATCCTAACTATTCCGGACACTGAGGCAGGAGAATCGCTTGAACCCAGGAGGTGGAGTTTGCAGTGAGCAGAGACCATGCCATTGCACTCCAGCCTAGGCGACAGAGTAAGACTCCATCTAAAAAAAAAAAAAAAAAAAACACACACAACAACAACAACAAAAACACTTATAGGCCCGGCATGGTGGTGCACACCCATAATCCCAGCACTTTAAAAGGCTGAGGCAGGTGGATCAACTGAGGTCAGGAATTTGAATTTGAGACCAGCCTGACCAGCATAGTGAAACCCTGTCTCTACTAAAAACACAAAAATTAGTTAGGCGTGTTGGCGGGCGCCTGTAATCCCAGCTACCGGAGAGGCTGAGGCAGGAGAATTACTTGAAATGGGAGGCGGAGATTACAGTGAGCCGAGATCGTGCCACTGCACTTCAGCCTGGGCGACAGAGCGAGACTTCATCTCAAAAAACAAAACAGGCCAGGCGTGCTAGCTCACGCCTGTAATCCCAGCACTTTGGGAGGCCGAGGTGGGTGGATCACCTGAGGTCGGGAGTTTGAGACCAGCTTGACCAACAAGGAGAAACCCTGTCTCTACTAAAAATACAAAATTAGACCAGCGTGGTGGCGCATGCCTGTAATCCCAGCTACTCTGGAGGCTGAGGCAGGAGAATAGCTTGAACCTGGGAGGTGGAGGTTATGGTGAGCCAAGATGGCGCCATTGCACTCCAGTCTGGGCAACAAGAGCAAAACTCTGTCTCAAAAACAAAACAAAACAAAACAAAACCTTATAGTTGGCCAGGGCGTGGTGGCTCACGCCTGTAATCCCAGCACTTTGGGAGGCCAAGGTGGGCGGACAACGAGGTCAGGAGATTGAGACCATCCTGGCTAACACGATGAAACCCCGTCTCTAATAAAAATAATAAAAAAAAAAATTAGCCAGGTGTGGTGGTGGGCGCCTGTAGTCCCAGCTACTTGGGAGGCTGAGGCAGGAGAATGGCATGAACCCGGGAGGTGGAGCTTGCAGTGAGCCGAGATAGGAGATAGAGCCACTGCACTCCAGCCTGGGCTACAGAGCCAGACTCCGTCTCAAAAACAAACAAACAAACAAACAAAAAAACAAAAAAACCTTATAGTTATAATTGTCAATAAATACCATTTACATTTTTAAGAAGCTGAGAAATTACATTATTTTAGTGTTAGAAGTACAATTTAATGCAAATCTTGTTAATATTTTAAAATTAGTTTTATTTAAAATGATAAATTAATCGTATAGAAAAATTTTCATGAAAAATCAAACTACTTTTCTTTAAACTATTTTATTAACTGTAACCCTTTATAAAAAACTAATTTATTATATTTTAATAAAAAACAGAAACATTGTGAGTTTTCATATAAAATGTCATGATTACCTCATGCATCTGATTTTAATGATTCGAAAAATATTTTATGCTCACTTGATTCATTACTTCATGGAATTGACAGTTTGAATACAAATTCTTTTAATCCAAAAACTGAAACATGACATTTTAGGAGAGCTTAATGTGCAAAGGAATGTCGAGAGAAATATTTTTATTGACTTCAAGTATTTACCATTAAGTTTTTAATTTCATATAGGTAATATATGATGTAGTTTTTGTGTAAAATAAAATTAATATATAAGCAAAAACCTACCATCTTTAGCCAAATGAATAAGAAGTAGTAAGTCAATGGAATTAAGCTCTGTGAAAATCTTTATTGGTACAACACAACTTTATTATTCAGGCGTGCTTAATTTATATGAAATGTTTCTTCAACAATGCTAGACAATGAGCATGTTTTTCCTTTGACTCTTTAAGGATATTAATATGATACACTGTTATTTTCTGTGAATTATTAGTTGGACTGATATGCCTATTAATAACACAAAACCATGGAAAAAGATTTGAATAGCTATGTTTAAAGAAACTTGACTTCTTAAGAAACACAGAGAAGTCAAAGTATGCACCAGATTAAACTGTAGGCATCATTTTTCTCCTCATCAAAATGTGATGGCAGATGTTGTTACTGGTGCACTGGGTTCTTGCAGTCTCCCAGGATAGAAATCAAGAGAAACTACCAGTTATAGCAGCAAAAATGAAGTTTATTTAGCTTGTGCACAAGGGTCCCAGCACTGAGAGGGGAAAAGAATGCTCCATTAGGGTAGTGCGTATGTTAGTTTTATAGGATCTTTCTATAGGGAAGGATTCTGTCAGGACTTTTCTAGAGCTTGGGCAGTGGCGCAACATGCTACATATGTCATATGTAGCATTAGCATTTTAAGTCTTCCCCCCTGGGAACTATTTATACCATTAAAATAAGGAAGGGGTAACTATAGGTTGGAGTTTAATTCTAACTGTGCATGCAGTGGCTCCAGGGAAGACCCTAACCTTCTGAAATAAAAACTTACAATTAAGAGCTTCTTGGGTCTTTTGTTACTGATTGACTGAGAGTTAGATAAGCTAGAGCTTGAGTGAGGGGCTTTTATCATTTTTCTCCAGCTCATATTAAAACAGGGAACCAACCAGCCTGCTTGTCTCAATGTCATCCTGAATTATTTCATTTCACTTTATTATACTTGCTTAAAGAATGATTGTATTTGATTTAACATGTAACTTCAAAATACACAGTCTTCCGGCCGGGCACAGTGGCTCACGCCTGTAATCCCAGCACTTTGGGAGGCCAAAGCAGGCGGATCACCTGAGGTCAGGAGTTCAAGACCAGCCTGGCCAACATGGTGAAACCCCATCTCTACTAAAAATACAAAAATTAGCCAGGCGTGGTGGCACGTGCCTGTAATCCCAGCTACCCAGGAGGCTGAGGCAGGAGAATTGCTTGAAGCCAAGAGGCAGAAGTTGCAGTGAGCCGAGATCATGCCATTGCACTCCAGCCTGGGGGACAAGAACGAGACTTCATGTCAAAAAAAAAAAATACACAGTCTTCCTTGGCTTAGCTGTATGGGAAATATATATATATATTTATTTATATATATATTTATATATATTTATTTATATATATTTATTTATATATATTTATTTATATATTTATTTATATTTATTTTTATATATTTATTTATATATTTATTTATATATATTTGTATATATTTATTTATATATTTATTTATATATTTATTTATATATTTACATATATTAGTTATATATATTTATATATTTATATATATTAGTTATATATATTTATATATTAGTTATATATATTTATATATATTTTTATATATTTATTTATATATATGTATATATTAACATATTTATATATATTAATATATTTATATATAAATATATATATATTAATATATTTATATATATTTATATATTAATATATATTTATATATTTATGTATATTAATATATATATTTATATATTTATATATATTTATATATGTATTTATATATATTTATATATTTATATTTATTTATATATGTATTTATATATATTTATATATTTATATTTATTTATTTATATATATTTATATATTTATATTTATTTATTTATATATATTTATATATATTTATATATTTATATTTATTTATTTATATATATTTATATATATTTATATATTTATTTATATATATTTATATATATATTTATATAGAGAGAGAGAGTTTAAATTTCGTGAAAAGCAGCATGTAGATTTGCGAAAGAGGTAGAAAATCAAGGTGCAGTTGTTCCTGAGAAAGACTTGTAACTCTTCCCTGGGGCCATCTTGACAGAAATGATTGTCAACCCCTGTGTTTTCCTTTTGCATTGCATCATGTTCTTCTCTGGACCAGCATTCAGATCAGTATTACAGATGATGGGAAATTATGTGGTTTATTTTAAAAGTGTGTATGGCTTGCCTGTGTTCCCTCTTCTACTTTGGTAAAATTTGCTCAAATGTAGATGTTGCTTATGAGGGTGGTGATCATCATTGCCTGGCGTTCATCTCCAAAGTCCACACAAAGGGGCTAATTGAGGCAATTCGATTTGTCTTTGATTTGCATTTTCTTTACAATTGCTTAAATTATCTGGGTGCTTTTGGTAGAACAATGTGTGCATGTAACATGAAATTGCTGGATTCCAAAATTTTAACAGGAAATGCTATTAAGAACAGTATCTTAGTTGACCACATGGTATTACATTATTTTTTAGTGTATTTGTAAATATATTATAAGAAATAAGTGGTCAAGAGGCTGGAGTGGATCCGATGATTGTAGTGTGCTCCCCAGTGCATCAGGTAGACCACAAATATATGAATTAGGCCAAACTAAACACTGTCACCTACATTAACCTACTAGGTTGGCACAAAAGTAATTGTGGTTCTGCCATTGAAAGTAGTGGCAAAAACAGCAATTACTTCTGCACCAACCTAATGAAAAATAACTATAATTTATCATGCATCTTCTTAGATGAGAAGCCCAAAACTTTGCTTTACCTTTGGAATGTTTTTCTGCTGGTTACTTTTTTATTTTTGCTATGGTTTTGGAGAAAATCAAGATTTCTAGGCATCATTTTTATTATTTAGTCTAAGACTCTTTCTGATATGTTTAATAGAAAGTAAATGCATATATTCTGAATTGTCTCTCAGTAAGAATGTCATCAGATTCCTCTAATTCTTGTTTTGAAAGTAGCTGTGAAATTCAAATTAGTAAATGTCTTGTCCTAATGAATCGCAGTTTTCAACAGAACAGTATTATAATGTCTATGAGTTATCTTATTTGTCTACCTTTGGCTAAATATGTTCAAACAATAGCTCTTGAAAAGATAGGGTCATGAAAACATTTTATTAACTTTGTTAAAAAAGGGAACAGTAAACTAAAAACTGTGAGCCAAATGATTTAGCTGAGGAAAAATTGTCTATCTTACAGAAATTCTGACTTATGAAAAAAGTTACTTTCAGTCTGATTCAGTATCATCAATGTGTATTTTAAAGTCTCAGATACTTTATAGATGTTATTAATCTACAATTACATCATAAAATCATGCTCCTCATAAGAATATGTCATATATGTTATAATACATGTGAAGCCTCATTATAAAAAAATGACTAACAGAACTTGTATGTCTAGGTGACCTAACATACCAGAACTAATGACCTAACATACCAGAACTAATATATCTTCTAAATGATTCAAACTGCAAAGACAGCGATCAACAGCTGAGACGAAAGTAGCTAGGTCCATTTTTTTTCTAGATTGTATTTTAAAATCCTTTCATTCTTGGAAATATTATATTTACACTTAGAGAAATATTCTTAAAACCAGCCGAAAATATTTTATGAATGAAACAGAAAATGTTATTGCTAATTTTTGAATTTTCTCTGAAGGGCATTCATATTTCATGTAATATTTTAATGCCTCAAAATTGATATTTTAAACTTGGAAAAATTGACATTTAATGGATGATTTGATAAAATAATTGTGTCATCATTTTGAACTCTTCTTTATCAGCCTGTGATTTTGTTCCAAAATTGTGATATTGACGTCATGTTTTTGTGAGAATTCACATTACAAAAAAACTTTGAGGTTTAGCCAGATTGCTTCCTATTTAATCAAACTCAAATGCTATAACTAATCTTTCAATTTGGTTGAGAATATGAAGGCAGACTATAGGAGAAAACACAAACAAGCAGTTTCTACAGTAGGCAAAGTTTCAGAAAAAGCAAAAATGGTTTTTCATTCCTAACTAAATCACAAAATAGCTAATTAGAATACATTTATTAAGAACCTACTATGTACAAAGCTTCATGCTAAACATAGCTGGGGTCCTAGTAAAATTTTCACTCTCATAGATATGCTTTTACAACAGAAAGAAAGCTTGATTCACTAGGTAATGAATTTTAAAATCTAAAATCTGAAGCGGCATTGTTTGGTAATAGATTTAACAGTGGTTTACTTAATTAGGTGAGAGAATAAGTATTAAGAAGTAAGGAATGTTGACATATCTTTAGAGTTAAAGTGCCTTTTTCAGGAGACAGCTGGCCTTCTGCCTGCATAGACCACTGAGCTGAAATGATCCATGAGCCTGTCTCAATACAACAGCCCCTACTCCAATGGTGACAGTGAGAAACACAACTTAAGTCTGAGCATCTCTGTTATGCTATCATAAACCCCAGTGACACAAGCATACTCTATACTCTATTTGCACTTGACCCAAGATTTTCACCAAAATAGAGTGCTTTTATATGTAAAGCTACCTGAATCCTCAGAGCAGTATTATAAACCATTTGGATTTATATCATATGTCTGCTTTTTGTAAGGTAAAAGTTATATTTTTTAAATTCCTTAGAATAAAAAACAAACAAACCCCCCCCAAACCTCTTAAGTTTTAAAAGTAAGTCTTCGATTTCAATTTTTCATTTCAAACTTACTAAATTAAAATAACAAAAGGGGTTATTCAAAGTCATCTTCCCAAAAGGGATTAAAGTCATGAGAAAGTTGTGAATAGAAAAATAAGCAGACATTCAAATGCTTTGACTTTCCAACTCTATGCTCAGCTTCTTTTGAGTCTGAATAGGAAGTATTCAATGACTCTTTTGATGTGTATCTTTGCTTTTGAGTCCATTAAGTTTTAAGATAAATATTCCTTTAATAATACAGTTTCAATTAGCCTTTCTTTCTTTCATATCTGTCACTGATAAGAATGTTGGTTTTTTTCCAGTATATCTTGAAATAAATAGGATTTTGGTGTTTAAATATTCAAAGAAAAAAGTCCTGTTTAATTAAAAGAAAACTTCAATGGCCAAAGAATATTCTTTTAAAAATCAGTGTTATTCTAGAAATGTTTCAGTCAGTATTAGATAGAAGTTTCCAGCGTAATATTATCTTTATTCCACAGCGAATAGGCATTTCATTAGAATCTCACCACTTACATGCCTGACCAACCCACATTACACAGATCCTGTTCTACCACTAATTAGGAATCGACCATTTAGGATTTGGGCAGCAAAGATATCCTTTTTGTTGTCTCCTAATTTGAATTATTCCTATAGATAGTATAGTGCATTTTTCAATTTATTTTGGATTGTGACTATTTCAGATTACTTCTAGATATACAGTATTTTGTTTACCATAGTAAATCGATGTTTCAGGTCCTTGCGAATCTATTAAAAATGATTTGGCATAATAACAATTTCATAGAATTGTTATTAGTGAAAAAAATTGTTGAAAGATGAGATTTGTTCATATTGTGTATATCATCTATGTTTTGAAAAGTAATACCTCTTTTTGTGTTTTGTGAGTAATTTTTTAGGGCCATCTCTTAATGCTATCTGGCCCCTTACTTTTCCTGCAGAGATCTAAAATTGCAGTGTTTGATAAAATGTGGACCTACATGCGGAGTGCGGAGCCCTCTGTGTTTGTGAGGACTACGGCCGAAGGGGTGGCTAGAGTGCGGAAGTCCAAAGGGAAATATGCCTACTTGTTGGAGTCCACGATGAACGAGTACATTGAGCAAAGGAAGCCTTGCGACACCATGAAAGTTGGTGGAAACCTGGATTCCAAAGGCTATGGCATCGCAACACCTAAAGGATCCTCATTAAGGTGGGTGGAATAGTATAACAATATGCTAAATGTTGTTATAGTATCCCACCTACCCTGATGTATCTTTAAGACTCTCTTACGGTTTGTATACGGATATGAGGTAACTCACCATCACAAAAATGACCAAAAAACGTTTCTGAATGTTTTTAAACATTTAGATACTGTTTTATATATTTATGACAGGATTTTGTTTTGTTTGGTTTGCTTTGTTTTAAAACATATCCTTTTTTTTTTCCTTTAAGAGTTAAAACACATTCATTTTAAGGAATACATGTTTGTTTAGCTTTACTTTGTTTGAGTTTTTTTTTCCACATTTCTAACTACCTTGTCAGTCTACCAGCCTGCTTACAAACACTCTGCATACAGACTAAGCAAATGGCTGTATCCTAACAGTAAACTGAAATAACTAACTGAGAAATATGCCACTTTTTAATTTTCATTTTAATTTTTGTTTAAGGGATATACTTTGGGGAAAGGAAAATGCACTTTGAATTTCTTTGCACACATCTCTTTACTATGTAGTTAACTCTTTGTATTCCTATTTTGTCGTTTGTTTTTTTTTTAGTGGAGTCACATTCAAGACACTGTTATTTGTTTGTTGTGGATGTGAGTACATTGCTGTAGAATATAGAACTCCCCATATTAGCACTCTTTCCTTTATTTTCTTTTTGTTATGCTCTACCACCTTACCCAAAGTTTCAGATTTTTAGTAGCTCATAGTAACATATTATTGTGGCCTTTTTCCCACTTCATTTTTTTGTGACAAGAGTTGCCACAGAAGCCAAAGAAAAACAAATTAAAACAAAACAAACAAAAAGTCTAAAATTTGCTCACCCTGTCTGACAAGTATGTTTTATCGTTTCAAGAAATGCGGTTAACCTCGCAGTACTAAAACTGAATGAACAAGGCCTGTTGGACAAATTGAAAAACAAATGGTGGTACGACAAAGGAGAGTGCGGCAGCGGGGGAGGTGATTCCAAGGTCAGCCCCAGTGAGAAAAGTAATGGGTAACTCAATGCAAAACAAAGTAAGCAGCAGCTATGCACAGTGTGGGCACTCCGTGCCACCAAGTTTCCAACGCTAAGCTGAAGAGTGCAATTGGATGACCAGGACACTTGACTTCTTCTTTCTTTCTTCCTCTACTTCTCTTTCCCTCTCTTTCTCCATATCTCAAGGAAAAATTTGTAACTAATGGATTTGTTGCAAACTGTTGCACCTGCTGGTTACTTCCAGCGATACATTAATGCTCATTTGGCTCTGCAAATCTTACCGTTTGCTTAGGCCAAATGGCGCATCAATGACTATCGCTCTTACAAAGCTCTTGAATCAGTATTATGTAATGAATAACATAAAATAACATTGATAATGTTATTTATGTTATTTTCCACGTGAAGAACCCCAGTAAATCTTGCAGTATTGAAACTCAGTGAGCAAGGCGTCTTAGACAAGCTGAAAAACAAATGGTGGTACGATAAAGGTGAATGTGGAGCCAAGGACTCTGGAAGTAAGGTCAGTTGCTGCAGGTTTTATGTGAAAAAACAAAATCAAACACAAACAGCAAAATCAAACCACAAGTGTGTTAGTGGGAATGACCCATCTTAAATAGAATGTAAATGCAAATATGCATGAGATGCATAATTTGGTAAGATGTTTTGGTAATGCCTGCAGAGTTACTGATTTGTTGTTTTTATTTTATTTTAAATATAGTATATGCATTTAATATATTTATTTCAGTCTGTGTTCATGTCTAACTCATACATAATAGTGCATGAAACAGCAACATACTGAAATAGAGTAAATGGCCTAATGAGAACATTAATGAAACACTTAAGATTAAGTGATTATAGGGATGTGTGTTTTCCTTGTCTGTTTTGATGGCACAGTTGCAGCATCTATAGTATCACTGATTGGCAAGACTATTCGTGTGCATCATGTGTGCTCTGTTTGTATTGAATGGCAAAGCTTTGTTGTGAGATGTAGTCTAGTGGATGAGAGTACACTGAGGGGATGAATTTTGGAGACCAAGAGATCAAAAATGGTACACTGCAATTCTAAACATGTCCAAAGCCTACTTGGAGAGTGAGAATGTACTGGAACCTTCACCAGCCAACATATTGCAGGATAACTTCCTGAAGGTTTATCTTAGCCATCTTAGTACTTTGAGGGATTGGAAATGTGGTCAGTCCTCCATTTATGACTCTACTAAGCCAGTAACATGGTCAACATTTAAAACTTGCTTCTACAATCACACGTATGGTTTATTTTAGCCCTGTTCGCTGTCAGCTTTACCAGATTATTTATAGGATGAAGAAACTGTCTTGTACCTTCAATTTTTCCCACGGTAATGGAATATAACTATTTATCAATTTATCACTGCAACTGACATAGCCAGGGAAATGTTTAAGAAATGAATAAATAGAAGTTTATTCCCTGCAGGTAGTCGATTGAGTCCACCAAAATCTTAAGCTAAATTTTATGTTGTTTCATGGTAGCTGTTATGAAAATGGACCATCTAAGAGAAAATCCATTGTTTCTCAAATTCAAATGCATTCTGTGTGACTAGGTTGTTCCCGTGATAATGCTATGTGACATTGCTGTTCTCTTCTATTCACCAGTTTGCCTTCCTAATAACCTCTTCTCATATACATTCTTTAGGAAAAGACCAGTGCCCTCAGTCTGAGCAACGTTGCTGGAGTATTCTACATCCTTGTCGGGGGCCTTGGTTTGGCAATGCTGGTGGCTTTGATTGAGTTCTGTTACAAGTCAAGGGCCGAGGCGAAACGAATGAAGGTGGCAAAGAATGCACAGAATATTAACCCATCTTCCTCGCAGAATTCACAGAATTTTGCAACTTATAAGGAAGGTTACAACGTATATGGCATCGAAAGTGTTAAAATTTAGGGGGTAGGAACGAGGCTCTAATACAAACTTTTTAGTGCACGTTTAGCTTTCTTGTTGCGTCCTTAAGCTCTTTTAAATAAGGAAGGTGGCCAATGGATCATCCTGTATGTATTGTTGACGTTCTTCCATGTTCCCAGTTGGTGACTAACCTGCAGCTCAACTGTCTATTTTCCTCTTTAATGGCACAGTAGCTTGGGTGAATGTGGACAGATTCCTGCCATAATTGTGCTTTATTATTTGTAGTTCAGCTTTGCACTGTTTGCTTTCATTTGCTAGAAGCTTTCAGATAGAAGTAAACTTTTCAAAAACAACCCTGCCTTTCCTCTGGATGCATTTGAAAACCATAACGTATGATTTCTTTTTCTTTCTTTCCCTCCTCTCTCATTTAAGATGACCTTGAATGATGCCATGAGGAACAAGGCAAGGCTGTCAATTACAGGAAGTACTGGAGAAAATGGACGTGTTATGACTCCAGAATTTCCCAAAGCAGTGCATGCTGTCCCTTACGTGAGTCCTGGCATGGGAATGAATGTCAGTGTGACTGATCTCTCGTGATTGATAAGAACCTTTTGAGTGCCTTACACAATGGTTTTCTTGTGTGTTTATTGTCAAAGTGGTGAGAGGCATCCAGTATCTTGAAGACTTTTCTTTCAGCCAAGAATTCTTAAATATGTGGAGTTCATCTTGAATTGTAAGGAATGATTAATTAAAACACAACATCTTTTTCTACTCGAGTTACAGACAAAGCGTGGTGGACATGCACAGCTAACATGGAAGTACTATAATTTACCTGAAGTCTTTGTACAGACAACAAACCTGTTTCTGCAGCCACTATTGTTAGTCTCTTGATTCATAATGACTTAAGCACACTTGACATCAACTGCATCAAGATGTGACATGTTTTATAAAAAAAGGAAAAAAAACATTTAAAACTAAAAAATATTTTTAGGTATTTTCACAAACAAACTGGCTTTTAAATAAATTTGCTTCCATATTGGTTGAATAAGACAAAAACAATTAAACTGAGTGGGAAGTGAATAAAAAAAGGCTTTAGGTATCGATTCCATATTTTTCAAAGCCAAATATGTAAATGCTAAGGAAAGTAAACAAAGAGGAGATTCCAATCTTGTAATTTAATATTGTTATTAAAACTTTAATGTATCCTATTCTTTAACATTTGGTGTTAATATAAAATTACTTGGCAATGCTTGACATTTGAAATAAACATTTTTCTATTGTTTTATTGCAAGTGGTCCAATTAATTTTGCTTAGCTACAGTTTGGTCATAAATCAAGTGAGTTTAAAGACACTACCAAGTTGTTAGGTGCCCAGAGAAAATTTCTCCCTTTTAAAAAGGCCAGGTGATTTTTCAAATGTAATCTTGCCCCCAAAGTAATATCTGAATATCTTTTTGACATGTCTAAATATATATATATATAAAGAAATATTTGTTAACACAAAAGCATTTGATCTATGTAGATAAATGCTAATAGATTTAAAAAGCTAATATTAACAAATACCAGAATACGTGAAGTTCCATTTTTAAAGTGTTTGAGCTTACAGAAGAGAAACATTCATTTTAAATGAAGTAAAAAATGCCTTGAAAGTAATTCTTTAGATAGTTGCCCATTGATTAAATTCCAAAAACTAAATATGTTTTTAGCTTTAAAATTATAAAAGCTGTCATAAACTTTATATATTATGAATTTTAAAATATGTTTGAGTCTCCTGCAATATAGTTTCATCCCATTGACATCAATTAAAAATAACCCTAATATATTATTTTTATATTTATTCCTCAGGTGGAATGGCTATTTTAATATGCCCAGTGTGGATAAAATGTCACATTTCTGTAACTTTTGACTAAAGAGCCTATATTTATCTAGTTAATGAATTTAAAGGATCTATCTTTCCCTTCATAAAATACCTCTTATTTCCATTAAAGCCCCCCAAGTTTAATTAATTTAGGATTTTGAATGATTATTGACATCCAATAGTTATTTTTAATATTTGTATTCTTGTTATTTCTGGAAGAAAGCCTTTGTGTAGCACTTGGTATTTTGCAAAGTGCTTTTAAAACATTCTTACTTACCGTATTTCATAGAAGGGAAGGAAAAATGTAAGGTTTAACAGTAAGCACTTGCATTGAACATGGAGGCATGTGGTATCATGATATTCTTCACTAAATTTAGCTGTCCCTAATCACAGATCCTAAGGTAATATAATATAATTTTAGTGCATTTCTCCTCATCAGGAATGCTGGAGGTGCATTTTAAGTTTTAATAATAAGTGCTAGAATGACCAAATTGCAGACTAATTGTTTCCATATTGTACTTAAAATGAGTTTTTAAAAGTGAAAAAGAAATGACTATATACAATCAATGCTATTTATTGTACCTCTGGGCCTACTCTTCTAAAAATTGTAGCTTATCGATTTTTCTCTGTCAAGCTTGAACTAATGTAAATAATTGAAATAATGTAAAGTTATATTTTCATGTTTTTATAGATACAACATGACAAGAATACATAATGTAAGAGTATTTCAACTATGGATAATGTTGATTGGATAATGCACATCTCAGTTACAAGCAGTACTCATAGTTTAATATCCATGTAACGGTGCATCAATATATTGCTATATAAATATGTCTGTGTGCATATAAGTGAAAAGTGGTCAAACAAGAGTGATGACAGCTGTCTAAAGGTTTTTTTATTCATTTTATATAAAAACTGTTATGGAAAGACCAAAATGTTTATGAACTATTCTTATGTAAATTTACAATTGTCCTTTACTGTACTTTTTTGTTTACAGTATAGTACCTTATTTTCTGCTGTGTTAAGTGGGTGTCAAACTCCAAGAAGACATACACTTTCTATAACTTCTATTGAAGATATTGGAATTTCCAATTTTTCATGTGTACTATGTCAGAAAATGCTTTCGATTTTATTTTTAAATCTAACATCGGATGGCTTTTCCGGAGTGTTGTAAAAACTTCAATCATACATAAAACATGTTCTTACAAAAGGCAAAGATCTTTATTTTTTTTACTTAATAGTACTTCAAACTAATAACAGTGAGACCAAAAAGTGTATCTAAGTTTATTCCCAAACAAACCCAACTGTTCCTACTGAATGAGGACATCTTTGCTCAATTTATTTATCAGCTAAGTACGAAGGTAACAGAATAAAAAAAATTTTGTAAGCTAAAATAATTAACAATTCAGGTCATTCATACCTACACTCATTAAGTGCTTCACGTATATGTAGGAATATGGCTATGAATTATATTACTCATTTTATTATAGATATACCCTGCTACTACAAGATCAGGCAATACCATCACCAACCATTCCATTGTATGTTATCCATTCAGCTGCTGTGATAGTCACATTAAACAGCAGAAAGGTGACTTACTTTAAAAATTCCATAATGTGTTTACAAAAAGGTGTTCTTTCAGTATTGTACTGAAAGAGAGTGTTAATGAGAAGCTAAAATTCTTGCCGCATTCAGTTTTTTTTACAAAGATAATCATTTTTTAGGTAATTCTATCCACAAATATTCAAAAATTATTAAGACACTATAGTTTTTCAAAGTTACACATTAACACCTTTTAATTTTATAGATTTTAATAGATTTAATGTTTCATACATAAATATACCAATGAATCTGCTTAAGATAACAGTTGGAGATCTTAATTTTCAAATCTGCAGATATTTTAAATATTTTGGTGGTCATGATAGCAAATAGGAAAAATGAAGGGAAGCATTAGCAATATAAGAAAGCTACAGGATGATTTCCAATACAACACCTTAACAATATCATTTAAAAAACATTTGTTGAAATTAATTAGAATATGGCAAAATGTGATTTCTCCCCTTTCTTCTACTCCCAATCTCATCATTTCCTAGAGGTACCGGTCTAGCAAGTTTAAACAAGCCAAGAATCACTTCTAGGTTAGAATGTATTTCTGGATATTTACATTTTTTTTCTGCTGGATAAAACTGATTATATATTTCTTTTTGAAGTAAGTGGTTTGATTGACTTAGCCACAAAAGTTGTCATTATTATCAATGTTAATTGATAATATATGATTATTAATAATAATATTCTGTGGGCTTCAGAGACTATTTTGGTTACATTTCCCAAATTTTATATGTACTCTCAACAACTTGTTAAAGGAAATATCAGAATATAAATATCTGTTTAAAAATAGAGCAAATTTTGTGCAAAGAGTTCTCATACTTAAAATAGGTTTATTTTTAATCACCAACATAAAAGATGGGTAAGTATAAGTGAATCATCATGATCTTCTGAATGAAAATTTGGAAATGCATTAAAAGGTTTGTAAAAGTTGTATCACATTTTAAGCAGGAAGGGATTCATTCTCTTAATGTGTTGTTTTGGCAAGACCATGACAACAGAAATTCTATTAGCTACTAATCAGGAAATTATACTTTCTCTATTTATGTGTTTTAAAACAAAACATAGACAGCATATGGCACTCCAAGTACAGAGAGGTTCAAACATACTTATGTAAGCATGATGATATTTAAACAGGGGGACTAAAACAAAAGCTGTAAGATCCAGTGAATATAGAATAGTACCTAGAGTAAATCCAGTTCATAAGAATCTGTCTATGTGTTTTATATCCTGTCTCTATTCATTTCTTCTTGCTTTACCATTTTATGATCTCTTCTTGCCCTTAAATACTACTGCCATTTTTATACCTATTATACTTTAAATGGTATCTCATTTTGTAGTTTCATTCATTTTGCTTTTTTTTTCATGTTATTCCATCTATTTCTAGCTTGCCTATTCTAACAGATTTTGCTTTGTGGGCACTTGAAATGCAGTTCATTTTATCAAAGACATGACTGACAGTTTCAGAGTCTACTTAATAACTATAATAAATGACTAAGGATTTCTCTTGTGAAATAAAATTTCTTGTTAAGCTCTATTTCAGCATTTCTCACATATTCTGATTCCATAATTGCCAATTTGTTATATTCCTCCATGTATTTACAGAGTTCCAAAATTTATAGAGTTTCTGTAGGAAACGAGGGTCTCTTCTATGACACAGGAAGAATGAGAACTCTATTTGAGTGTTTGCTTATCAGAATTCTCTTTTAAAGCCACTTGACACTGAGCACAAGCCAATTCTCCATTTTAATTTCATTCTCAAGCACTTCCAGATTATTCCTTAATTCCTTTTTTCCCACTAGGTATAAGTAAATTTTGCTATTTAAGAGCCAAATTGCTTTTTCGATATGCATAAACTCACTATTACTTCATTGGATATGCCTGAATTAGCTGAATGAATTTGGTCATTTTTCTTTCTTTTTTTTCCCTTTCAGGTTAATGTGCCAATTTCATTTTACTGTAAATTGGAATGTGGGGGAGTGGATTAAGTCTTGGGAGGTAGTCAAAACCAGGATTCTAGCTTTACTTTCCCTTTTTCTCTTGCTTCTCTTTGTCTCCTCAACTGGAGTATTTGGACACTAGGACTGTCTCACTGGAACGATGACAGGGAATTTGATATGATTATTAAAGATAGGATGCAACAATGTGTCTTTTAAAAATAATGGTTTAAAGAAATGGGTTCATGTTTGGAGTGCCACTTGGTGCAGAAAATGTTTTTGGTATCCAGATCCAATTTTATTTCATCATCTCAAAGCATTAGTAAAACAGTTCTATCCTGTAACTTTCATTTATTAATTAATTTACTTATTCCATCTGACAATATTTATTGAATTTTTTTCCTGTATAAATATTGGCCAAGGTAAGGGCTAAATTTGAAGCCTCTATTCTGAAGATTAAGTGTTATATTTTCATTAAAGGATGTAGTTCTTTCATCCCATTCATGTAGAAATAATATTATGATTACTTGGATTAGTCTGTCCAACAATTTTTAACCGAAGAGATTCAAACTTTAATTTAGAACAGATATCTGATAGCATTCCTCAACAATCTTAAATATGGACTCACATTTTATTTTCTTATACTAATCTTAGATTGTGTAAATTGTATGTCTAAATTTATTTGCCATTCATTCAATATTTTTATCTCTATTCTCAAAGAGTCTAATTAAATCCATTAACAAATATCAGTTTGGTAATTCTAAATCTCTGCCACCTGTATAGCTTATGTATGTATATCTAGTATCTATTTCTTTGTATGAGTGTTAATTCAAAAAACATTCTAAGTATTTTTGCTTAGCAGCTAAACAGCATCTTATACACAAATAGCAACAAAAATTAAAGAATATATATATCCTTATAAAGGTATACATATGTATCTTAAGTAAATATATGTGTCTATATTTATTTTTTAAAATATGGTAATTTTTCAACCAAGAGCCTACCAATTCGGAATTTATTCCAGAAAATGTTTAAAATGAATATCACTATTTGTCAATATTTATTTTTATTTAAATATTTACACTAAATCACACCTAAATTCCATGAGGGTAGTTTATTTCAGATGGGATAGCCTCAGGGAAAATTTGAAGTTCTATTAAATTTTGTAAAAAAAAAGAAAAACATATTTTGTGTTTAGGAACATATATGTTACAGCCATCATATTTTGATTACTATCACTCATTATATTGCCAATATTAATAGGTGAGGAAATTCATTTGATAAGTATCAGAATCAAAGCCAGGTATAAATTAATAGATGTATATTTTCTAGTTTTATTTTACTATTTATATTCAATTTAGAGGTTTTATATATATAAATCACATTTTTTCCCCAGCTTCTTATGGTCAAGAATTTTGTGGTGTAAGAAATGTGTGCTCACTGTGCTGACTGGAATTTTATGATTTAAGCTATTGAGTATAGTTGACTCATATCTAAAGGCACTTTTGTGTAAATATTTACAGATTTTAAAAGAAATCACCTCATGAAAAGATTTGAAAGTTTCTTAAAACCATTATGTAGAAAATGGAAATATGTTGTACTATGAACTACGTATTCTTGCTTTGCCTATGCATTCTATTTCCCCACCCCTACAAATTAAACCCCGTTTGACTGGTTATCAATTACAGAACAGTTTTACTGAAGTCTAAGTCATGGGTTGCGATCACATGTAACAGTCAATTTTACATGATTCCTAGATTATACACAACATATCGAACTTTGCACATCCTTCTTGCAAATATGTGCCTTAGTTCACAGTGAGGGATAATGTGGATGATTACTGTTCAGCTGTCATGTCTATTTCGGGTTTCTTTTTAAATTAAAATGCATTCCCAGCTTTATAATCATATTTAGTATGTATCTTAAAAGGCTTTCAAGTCTGTTTTATGTACATTATCTTGTCAGCTATTTGTGTTAAAGAGATAAACATGTCTGTTGATTTTTATTTAATGTTGTTCGTGTTTCTGTGTGTGTGTATGTTTATGTGTGTATTAAAAAATCCACATCCTCTGTAGCATTTACTCTGATAATTATTTATAAAATTGTTACCATAAATTATGAGTTTGTAATGCAAAAAACACTAGATAAATTGGAATAAATTATTTATGGATTTTTTAAAGGGTTTTCAGAAGAAATTAATTAGCCACTCTTAGGTTGGATATATGAGTCAAAGTAACTTAAACTTGAGTCCAAAATTATGCCTTGCTGTTTTTATGTGAAATTTATTTTAAAGGACTTACTTCACCAAAATTAAATTTCCAAGATTTGTCATTCATAATTAGCTATCAAAGCATTTCCACATGGAAAAGGCTTTTGGAATCAAGTTTAAATTGTCTCATCTTTTGCATTTATTTCATCAGAAAAACAAGAACTTGTGGGAAATAAAATTACACTTCAATTTCAGAAATAGTTTTCTCGAAATCAGAAAAAAGTATATGCCTCAAATATCTAAATACAGTTTCTAACATCAAAGGTTAGTAAGTTATCGATACAATTTTCAAAGTGTCATGATCATCTTCAGGACACCACTTTCCCTGATGAGATACTTCCCGAGGCTTGGAGAAACTAAGCCATTGGCCAAGAGAACATAGCTAGTAAATGACAAAGCAGGATTGTAACTCAGGTATGATTCTCTATTTGAATACTTTTTTTTCCTTTATCAAATAAAATCTCTTTTTTATCATACAAACAGCTATATGTGAGGATAGTAGGAATGCTCTATTCAGAGGAACATAGGATTTTTCCCCCATAATTGATGTCTTACCTTTTGAATTAGGATACACTCTTGCAATTCAATTTGTATCCAGAAACTTTTCTTACTCTGAGTAGGATATCATATCATAGAAATGGCTGTAGAAACATCATGGCAATTTTAAATATTATTGCTATATATTTTTAGTAAGTAACCACATTTATGTTTATTAATATCCTAAATGTTTATGATGAAAACATAATTAATTACTCAATTAGCAATTAGAAAAAAAGATACATGTCCATTTTTGCTTAACAGTTGTCCTAAAACCTTTTTTAAAAAGGTACATTATAAGACAAATGCAAGTTGTCATTATTATATATTAATTTGCTTTTAGAAAATGTGAAAATATTTTGCAAATAAAAATATGAATTAGTTAAAATTATAAAGTATGTAATGTCAAATATGCATTTTCATGTATCAGATGTTTATAAAGATAGTGGCTTTTAACTCTATTTGATTATTAAAGGGTAATATCTGGGCTTATAGTTTACATAAAACTTCACATTAAAATTTAATACTATCATACAGCAATACGTAAATTTCAAAGCACTTTCATGTTTGATTCTTAGGTTTTTAGTCATTATTCACACGTCACCACATTATTCCTATTGTCATATCATCTTTCCCAATACAATAGCAAAACCAGAAAATATTTTCACAAGCGTCACACTTATTTTATGTTAGGAAAACATGCATGCATTTACTATTTTTACTTCCTCTGTTTCACACTTATTTTTCCTATAATTTTGTCTTATCCATCTGGCCAGCTTTCACTTATAGGTATTGACATGACAATGGTTGTTTGATCTTTTATTTTCCTCTTCCTTATTGTTAAACCCTATAAAAATCTTTCCCATATATGATTGAGCAAAAGTCTAGTAATCTCTCAAGCAGCATGTTAATGTTTTGTTTTCTTGTGACACCTTACCTGTATCTCCCATACTCACTCTGCCCTAAGCAAAGCTGATTAAATATTTTTCATTGTTCAAATGCTGTACCTGGTTGAAACGTCTCTAAAGGAGCAATGATGCTATACTCTAGTGGTTTGCTTAAACATCAAATTCCTTTATTATAGTGCAAGCTTCCTGCAGCAGAGAATACATATGTCTTATTCATCGTCAAGTACCTGACAGGTTTTGGGAATGATAATAATAACATATAATTACAATGCACATAATATGTCAGGCATCACATTATGAAGAACACACTATTGTTGTAATCTTCATTTTACAAATAAGGAATTGGAGGCACAAAGGCATAGAGAGGTTAGATAATTTGCTCAAAATCACATAGCTAGTAGAACGAAGAACAAGGTTTTGTACCTGGGTTTGAGGGTAGCAGAGTTAGCACTTGTAACCTTCACATGAAAAGAGATGGGTCACAATATAAATGCTATCAGATAAAAAAATGTTCTAAAAATAAAAAAAAGTGTTGACACACCAAACAGCAGACAGGTGCCCAGGGAGTAGATGTGTAACAAGCACTCATACATCACTGGAAAACATCACCGAATGTATAATGAAGTGGAGAAAAGGGTATTTAGTGAAGTCCCCATGGGATAATAGTAGGTGTAGTTGGAAGACTGCTCTAATAAGTCATCTGGGCTAGAGTGAGATCCCTGACAAATGTGCTCCAGTAATAATGGAGAACTGCTAACCTGCCACGTAGAGAGAGCGTATCATGTTAACTGCAGAGCTTTTGCTTTGCTGAGTTTGGTGCTGGAGTAGAATTGCTAAGAAAATAAGGTGAAATTAAACATAAATTGTCTCTTTCACAGTAATTTTTTATACCACATTATTTTTATGTAGGGCTGCTTTTTTTTAAAAAAAAATTTATTTTATGGCCAGATTACTGGAAAATATCGTCTAACTAAATGAAGTTAATTTTCTTTAGGAATCTTTCTAATGACTTCCTTTCAAAATGGCCATATTGTTGCAATTTCTCCTTAGCCGCCCTCACTGAATCAACTTTCACTGCTTATAATGTGAACATAGATATTCCTGGGAGATATTTTTCATCCTAGCTCAACTCTTTTCAAATTGCACTCTCTATCTCGTAGGAAAACCATTTTTTCCTATGGATTTTATTATCATCTTCATGCTGAGTTTTCTCAAATGTATGTGCACAGCCCTGGCCATTTTCCTCAGTTCCAGACTTGTATATTCAACTGTTCAGTAACTTATTGTTAATATAATTAATATTATTAATAATAATGACTAATAGTAATTGAAAAGCTATAAGATGCCAGCCACTATTTTAGATTTTACATATATTAATGCTTTTAACACAGAAATGAAATGCAATCAATATTATCATTATCTCTATTGTACCTTAAATAAATGGAGGTAAAAAGAGATTACATAGTTTGTCCTTAGTCTCAACTGCATCTAGAAATCTCCACAGGGACTCAACCTGGACAGGCTTTAAAACTGAATTCATTATCTTCCCAGTAAAAATTGTTCCTCCTTCTGATAAGTCCCTTTTGGTTACATTTGGTCCTTAGACTACCATTGTAAATGTGAACTTTCTTACCTGTAGAAAAAAACATAAATTCTATTTTAATTATTTGCATAAATGCAGGAGAAACTCTTTCATAGCTAATCTTTCCTCATTCATAATTCACACTTATGAGCACATACAGACACTAATCAAGGTATTTTGGAATATTTGTAAGTCCAAGAGAAAAAGAAATTCACAAACAATCCTTAATGTTTTGTTTCTTAAATTGTAGTTCATTTTATTTTAGCAATTTATCATCGCTCCTTGTGTTAAAAATCACTTCTAGATTGTATTATGTTAGAGTCCTAGAGGGCTCATGCTAATGTTCTGTGCCCTCATTTAATGATGTATTTATTTACTGAATAAATACTTATTGAACATGTATTATGTGGCAGGCTTTATACCATGCTAGAAAACATGGTACTACTGTCAGTTACATTTTGTCTATTTCAAGTTGAAAAAAGTAAATTATTCAAGGTATTCATTAAATTATTTTACTTTCACTTATTCCTTACATATTTCAAACCCTCTTACTATCTTGCTACATTACTTCTTATGAGATGTGGAATTAAATTATTTTAACTTATCCAACAAATATTTATTGAGCACTCACCCATTGTATTGTACTAGGATGATGTCGTGTTGATAAAACACACAGAGTCCATCTCTCTTTAGAACTGCCTTGTAACCTGTAGAAAAGATTTTGCACAAGTAATCATACACAGAAAAAGAGTTATAAAGGAGAAGAATGTGCCATGGGAAAAGGCAGGCCCAACCTAGTCTGAGTGGTCTCAGGAAGGCTTCTGTGAGGAAAGTGATGTTTAAGCTGAGACATAAAGGACAAATTGGAATTATGGAAAAGGAGAAAACATGTTGGAAGAGGAACATTTCAGGCAGAGGAGACAATGGCAAATCTGAGGAACTGGAAAATATCACATAAGTCTGGAATATAGAACACCAGGGGAGATACACTGAAGTGATCTCTTTCTTGCTCCATTAGCTTCTACTCTGCACCTCTTTGTAGCTTCTGAAATATTTCATTCAGGAACAAACGTGCTTAGTTTTTGTTTGAACAAAGGTGACATTCACTTGCTCCTTACAGCAATCATATTAGATAGGAGTCATTATTACAAATGTGACTAATGAAGAGTGGATAGGGAGCATGCCCATATTCATTCAGGGATCTACAAAGGGTCAGAACCAGGCATGGAGACAGCTCTTTGGCCTCCAGCCCCTGATCTTTCTATTGTATCATATGCTGTTCTACTCGCTAGTGAGTACATAGCAGTGTGGTTTGAACCATGCCACACTTTACTATGCAGCTCAGAAAATGACCTGTGCCTGTGCTTTTCAAATGCCGTGTTTTGTTTACCCTGGAATAGATTTTTGTACACCACAATAGATCAAAATACCTCTCCTCAATGAATTTTTCCTCTTTGTTTTTAAAAAGATCAAATGAATCTTCACACCTTCATTTTTGATAATAAAAATACCTCAATCACATATCACATTTTTGTGATAATTTCTATTATTTCTTTCCAGCTGATTTTCTCAATATTTTAAATGAAATATATTTGAATATAATTAATACTTTTATTATATATAATTAATTATTATATATGATTAATTATATTGTTAGATTTATTAGATTTATTTATTAGATATGATTCCATATAATAATAATAATAATAATAATATAAACTCCTGTTGAATCTTCTCCAAAAATGTTTATTATAGGAAATATTGAAAAGCATAAGCACATAAAAAGGGTTTGACCATCTATTTGGAGCATTTCCTTTGATCTTCTAGTCTTCGTTTCTTAAGCTTTTCACTAAGTACTGCGATGCTCCTTTCCCCTCAATCCAGTGTTCTCCATCTGTTCTCTCAAATGTGATCTTTGCCATTGGAATGTAGGATTTAAGCCATAGTAACCCATGAAAAAGACATACCTGTGCTGAAAGTCAAGGAGAATCTCACATGTTGAATCGAGGCTATGCATTTGTGTCAGTAGTTGCTCTACTTATTAGTTAATTGGCTTTCAAATAATTGGATCTAGTTTTAGGTTTCAAAGGTACTGACAGTTACTACTATTGTGCAATTAATTATCCATTTCTTTCTAGTGTCTAACCTGTACTTAATCAATCAAAAGGAGCCACATATTGATCAGAAATGATAACCAGAAAAGAAAATAAGTAGTTTAGGTTGTCTGTAAATTAAATATTTGTTTTTCCAGGTGTAAAGAGTTGCCTGTGCATCACATCTTCCCTAGTTTATCACCCTGGGGATGGTTTTCGAATTACATGATGTTCATTCATTCATTAATAATTTCTCACTCATAAATATTTATTGTATCCATTATGCATCAAACAACGGAAAAAGGCTGAAGTCTATTGATGGAGACAGACATGTAGAAAGATTATTATATGTAATGTAATCCTTCATTCACCAAATATTTATTGAATACCTGTTATTAACACCAGGCATTGTTCCAGATAATGGGAATAGAGAGGTAAACAAGTCTTAAGGAAATAAGTCTTTATTCTCATGCAGATTACTCTCTTTTAAAGGGGACTGACAATAAACAAATGGTCAAAAAATACGTATCAGGATATTCTGAGTAATATGAAGTGAAAAAAGCAAAGTAAAGAGGTAGAGATGGATGGGGTATTATTTTTGATAAGGAGGTCAGGGAAAACATATCACCCTGAAGTATGGGTAAAATTTGAGCAGAAACGTATATGAAAGGAGGAAGTTTTTTGAATATCTGAGTGAAGAGAGTAGGAATGAGAGGCACCTGGAAGTATATAGTAGTAATATTTCTCTGAATAGAAATTTACATAAATAATTGAAGCTGAAATAGCTTAGATAATTCAGAAGAGCCAGTGGCTTGAACACAGTAAGCTGGAAGACAGTAGTTAGAAATAGAGTCAGGAGTACCAAAGGTCTAGGTCTTTTAGAGTTTTGGGTCATGTTAAGGACTTTACATTTTATTCAAATGTGACAATGCCAATAAGGAATTTGGAATAAGAAAATGACATGACCTAATTTATGCATTAAAATTGGCTGTGGTTGAAAAAATCACTAACCTTCACTGAATGTTACTGTGTGCAAACACTGTGCAAAGCAATTTTATCTTGAATAATGTGTATCATCCTTAGATCAACTCTGTCAACTCTAAGGTATATTATATTCCTCTTATTTAACAAATGAAGAAACTTAGATGCAAAAATTATCCAACTCTGTGGTCACAGAGCTGGTGATGTTTGAGCTGGTCATTGAAACCAGCAAATCTGGCAGTATAAAACACGTTGCTTCATCAAGGAACTAGACCACAGAGGAATATGAAGAAAAGAGGAAGGTAGAAGCTATACTGAAAGTCCAGGTGAGAGATGACACCTGGAGTAGTGTGAGAAGTGGGTGACCCAAACCTTGAGCAGAAATACTACAGGATGCAATGATAGATTGCATGTGAGAGTATAGACCGACAGACAGTAGGCAAACCGTGGTGCTATTTACTGAGATTAGAAATGGGGGGGGGGGCAGGAAAAGGCTTGTTTCATTTGTTTAATTGCTTGATTTTATTTATTGGATGCGGTAGAAAATCTAGGTTTATTTTGTTTTGAAAGAAATTTGAAATAGCTATTTAGACTGGCAAGTGACACAGTCAAGCGGGCACTTGGATAGACTCATCTTAAGACATAAAATTAGAGAGTCCTCAGCACGGAGATTGCATTTAAAACCCCAAGATTGGATAAAACACTACCAAAAGTTCTAAGTGTTGGTTCCTGGAGACTGTAGTATCTAGAAGTGGGGAAATGAGGGGAAATCAGTGAAGAAGACAGAGAAGCAGCAGCCAGTGAAGTTGGAACAAAATCAAGAGAGTTTGGTGTAGTCAGTTTAATTTTTAATAGAGTATTATTAGAGAACATGGAGGTTATGGAATTCCTTAAAGCAGGTAGCTTCTAAGCGAAACCGGATATGCTGAAGCTGGTCACACAGAAAAAGAGGCAAAGTTAATATCCCCTTAGATGCCCATCTAGACATCATGTAGAAATAAAGCACATTGAATATCATGCTTTCATTACTCAGTGAATACCTAAAACAAGGACCAAATGTGCAAAGATACAGTATAGGAACTCAAAATTTAAAAAGTCAGGAAGCCATTGCTTACATAGCGTCATGGTCACTGAAACAGGAGTTTTGCAAAGACCTAATATCTTATGTCCCTAAGATACCAGAACAGCACATTTCTGAGCCCATCAGAATTAGAATGAGTATCTTATCTAAGATTCTGTATGGAATGACACTGGTTCTGAGTGCTTTGTTCACTTCATACTACCGTGATAGCAATCAACAACGACAACAAAAAGCGAAACGGTCACTCTAAAGATAATTAAGCTGAGTATTTGCAACAATTTGTTGCAAACGCAGTTGAACCATGGTTAAGACCGTGAGATACGGAAGGAGACACATCAGGTTCAAATCAAATAGGTGCTCTACAACCTATTATGTGTTAGTTGGGAATCTGTTTACTCTCTCTCCTATTTCCACATCAGGAAAATGAAGTATCTATTTCTTAAATAGAGATTACATGATATAATACATTAGGGTACATAACACAGTGCTTGGCCTAAGATAATAATTGATCAACCTATGTTGCCTTGTGCTGTACCATGTCAGTTTATAATGTGAGCATTTCTGAATACTGTATCATTAGTCTGTGAAAATTTAAGGACTTAGGAATGCTACATTTAGATAACTATTTTCTTATTACTAAGCATGAAGGCTCTACATTTATGATATTATTAATAATATTTCTCTGAATATAAATTTACCTAAATCATTGTCTACATCTTTGATTGGCATTTCTTGACATATTTAATGTCCTTGCTTCTTTTTTAGTCTATGATTTATATTTCATGAAACCAAATTACAGTTTTACAATAATAGCTAAGAGCTTCCTTCGTTAATTTACAGATTTTTCTGCCCAACATTTACCACAAAAAAATCACACATCATTATAATGTTCCTTTGTGCTACATTTTTCTTAAATTTATAGAGATAATGAAAAGGAAAATTAGCTGCAGCCCGAAAACTCCTTTTAAATTATGCATCTGAGGACTTCTTTACAAAGCTGTTTAAAACAGCATAGAGCTTTACTTATGCCAAAGAAATTCTCCCCTATCACACATTTTAAAGGATATGATGTATCCTACATTCCTTTTCTTTGAGTTAACATTGTATAATTCAGGACATAGATGATGAAGACTATGGTTTTACTAACTAAATGATTATTAGTGTTTTAGGGGAATTATTGTCCAAAGAATAGAGACTCTCTTTTTCCGGCCAAGCTAAACTTGAATTAATTAAATCTCTTTATGAAGCAGATGTTGAAAAACTTGGAAATTCAGTGGGCAGGAAGGCATCAGTCAGAAAAGATTTTTTTTAAATTATTAATTAGTTTTTAAACATAGCTCTTTTTACTCTTATTTATTTTTAGCAATTTAATCAGATATTCCTGGAATAGGTTTTGCAGCCCTTCTGCAGTTGCGGTTTCTTTCTTTGACTTGTTTCAGAAGTTACGTCATTGTCAACCTTCCCCTTTGCTTATGATGGGAAGACAAAGAAAGGTGTGCCGGAGGTCAGGCTCTATGAACCTGACATAATCACTGATTTCCCAAGTCAAGATGCACAACAAGCGATGGCATCTGTTTACCATTCTTCCTGTTTTTATTTTTGGCACTGGAAAGACTAGACTTCAACGAAGTCTCATAGAAGAGCGCTAATCACTATTAATACTTTAGAATTGATGTAATGGCCAATATTAGACCTTACTCTTGTAAGTTTAAAAGCCTTAGCAATGGGAAGAGTTATTGATTTTTTGGTCAAGCATTCACGTAATTTTTTTAACTCATGCTACCTGTAGAAAAAAATAGTTTCAAAAATGTATCTGCTATTAAGAAAATCATCCTGGCCGGGCACAGTGGCTCATGCCTGTAATCCCAACACTTTGGGAGGCTGAGGCGGGTGGATCACCTGAGGTCAGGAGTTCAAGACCAGCCTGGCCAACATGGTGAAACTACGTCTCTACTAAAAATACAAAAATTAGTTGGGCATGGTGGCATGTGCCTGTAATCCCTGTTCCTTGGGAGGCTTAGGCACTAGAATTGTGTGAACCCGAGAGGTGGAGTTTGCAGTGAGCCGAGATCACACCATTGCACTCCAGCCCAAGTGACAGAGCTAGACTCCGTTTCAAAAAAAAAAAAAAAAAAAATCATCCAGCTCAAAATACCAAGTTTTTTATTCCAAAACACAGTACACAATACAGTGACCTAGGATCTTTTCTTTTCTTTTCTTTTTTTTTTTTTTTTGAGACGGAGTCTCGCTCTGTCGCCCAGGCCGGACTGCGGACTGCAGTGGCACAATCTCGGCTCACTGCAAGCTCCGCTTCCCGGGTTCACGCCATTCTCCTGCCTCAGCCTCCCGAGTAGCTGGGACTACAGGTGCCCGCCACCGCACCCGGCTAATTTTTTGTATTTTTAGTAGAGACGGGGTTTCACCTTGTTAGCCAGGATGGTCTCGATCTCCTGACCTCATGATCCACCCGCCTCGGCCTCCCAAAGTGCTGGGATTACAGGCGTGAGCCACCGCGCCCGGCCGGATCTTTTCTTTTGAGGAAACAATTCTAACTTCAAATATTTTAATTGGGCTTTAATAACGCTGAGGGAATGCTGTGAGTCCCCCATGGGCTGAAATTCTCAAGTGGAGTCAGGGCTGAGTAGAATAAATTGGTGCTTTTCGTGGATTGTTATTAAGTTGATGTTAGATATTCCTTCCAGTTCTAATTTGTGGCTACCAGATGCTCTGAAGCTCAGCTTGTGCCTTTGGGCTTTTGCTTTATAATCTTGTCAAATCTGGCTAGGAAATTTTTAAAGGTGCAAGGTTACTAAGTGTGATGATATTGTATAAAGAAATATACTGTTTTTGCCGGGCATGGAGGCTCACGCCTGTAATCCTAGCACTTCGGGAGGCCGAGGCAGGCAGATCACGAGGTCAGGAGTTCGAGACCAGCCTAACCAACATGGTGAAACCCTGCCTCTAGTAAAAAAAAAAAATACAAAAATTAGACGAGCGTGGTGGTGCTTGCCTGTAATCCCAGCTACTTGGGAGGATGAGGCAGGAGAAACACTTGAACCCAGGAGGGGGAAGTTGCAGTGAGCAGAGATTGTGCCATTGCACTCTAGCCTGGGCAACAGAGTGAGATTCTGTCTCAAAAAAAAAAAGAAATATACTGTTTTTTGGACTTAAATCTTCTACCATTCCCTAGCAGTGTGATTTGGGGCAAGTTCCTTCTCTAGCCAAACATCACTTTCATCATCTGTGACACTAGAATTTTCACACCTATCTGGCAAGCTTATGATGAGAAATAAATATTATGTATTACCAATAACAACTAAGCTATAAATTGAGGTGTTATTCTTGACTCCTCTTCTCCTCTAATCCTCCAGTTCCTAAATCCAACAAATTAACAAGTACTATCAGCTTGACCTTCAAGATATTTTCCAAATGCACCCACCCCACTTCATCAAATCTGTTATTGTGTTAATCCAACAGGCATCATTTCTCACCTGAAGTAATTAATTAGCCCCTTAAGTGGTCACCCTGCTTTCACTTTTGCTTGCTCAGTCTTGGCATTTTATGTAAGATCTCCAGAGTGGCCAGAAGGATCTCTTAAAACTACAGATAAAGAGGCCGGGCACAGTGGCTCACGCCTGTAATCTGAGCACTCTGAGAGGCGGAGGCGGGTGGATCACCTGTGTCAGGAGTTCAAGATCAGCCTGGCCAACATAGTGAAACCCCATCTCTACAAAAATACAAAAATTAGCCGGGCATGATAGCAGGTGCCTGTAATCCCAGCTACTCGGGAAGCTGAGGCGAAAGAATAGCTTGAACATGGGAGGCAGAGGTTGCAGTGAGCTGAGATCGGGCCATTACACTCCAGCCTGGGAGACAGAGTGAGACTCCATCTCAAAAAATAAAAATAAAAATGAAAAATGAAAAAAAAAAACAGATAAAATATCCTACTTATTCTCTGCTTAAAACCCTCCGGTAAATTTCATCTTATTCAGAATAAATCCCAACTTTCTCTCATGGCCTACAAGGTTCTGCATCTCCTTGCCCTCCTTCCTCCTCTATGGGAGGAGTCTGATTCCTCCCGTATGGCTTTTCCCCTCACTCACTCTGATCCTGTCACACTGACCTCTGACTGCTTTCCCATGAGGGGGCCAAACTCTGGTCGCCTTAGGGCCTCTGCCCACACTGATTCCTTTGCTTGCTACTCGGGAGTCTGAGGCAGGAGAATGGCGTGCACCTAGGAGGCGGAGCTTGCAGTGAGCCGAGATCGTGCCACTGCACTCCAGCCTGGGTGACAGAGAAAGACTCCGTCTCAAAAAAAAAGAAAAAAAGAAAAGAAAAGAAAAGAAAACAGCTTCCCATAAATGTTCCCTCCAGCCTTTCCTTATCATTTAGGCTTTCCTCCTCCCCTCCTTCTAATTTAGAACAGCTACTCCAGTCATTCTCTACTGGAGGGTCAAAGCTGGCTAGAGAATTTTCAAAGGTGCATTGTTACTGTGTGATGATATTGCATAAATAGGTATACTGTTTTACTGACCCTGTTTTACTTTCTTCCTGACAGTTAACCCTGACTGCAAAAACCTTATTTACTTACTTATTTGTTAACTGTCTGTCCCTCCCCCACCAGAATATAGGATTACCAAGGAGCTGTCTCACTCACCATTGTATTTCTGGCACAAAAGACAGTGTCTTACAAATAGTAACTAGTCAAAAAAAATAAGATGAATAAATACACAGATCTTCTACTATGCTTGACACTTAGTAAATGTTCAATTAAAATTGTTGTTACACATCCTTCTATTCAATTTCCACCAGCTAATTCTACTTCAGATGGAAGAAGTCTATTGTCTTGGTCATAGTTAATATCTCTCCAGAGAAACTGATAAATAAGCTTAGCCTTCAGTGTTGACATTATTACTTAGCACTTGTTAGATAAATGTTGTAATCTGTGTGTTCATAGATCTAGATCATAATTGTTTCATATTATAAACTAAAAAGTTATCAAGAATGAGACAGCACAATAATGTTTATCTTCAATCAGCAAAATATTCTGACTGGTATTGCATTAATGTGAATTACACATTTTCTCGGCCACAATGAAGACGGTGTGGTGTTGTGGGAAAAACCAGCTTAGAGTCAGCAGAACAACATTTATTAAGTGCTTATTTTTTATTGGTGTTAGGTATAAAAAGTGGTATAAAATGTGGTCCTTGCTCTTTAAGCAGCTTTTACTGTCATTCTATTGCTAAATATAAATGATCCTGTTTATTAAAAGGTTGAGTTACTGATTTGGAAAAACAATACTTTTCCAATCCAACATTCCTTAATATTCCCTGGCACAAAACAGCTTTTTTCGTGTGAGCATTTTCCATTCCTCTTAAAATAGAAGAGAACGGTATTCTCCAATGTTTCTAAAATTTCCTTCAGTTTTTTTTCTGAAGTCTGTAAAACAGAGAATACAGCTGCTGACATTGAAATGAGATTCCATGAAACAGTAAGTGCATAGAATGCCAAGGTAAATGGGCTGTTTATTAAGTTTTTCTGATTCCATACCATACATGAGACGTTCCACCCTGTCACTAGCTATAGTTAAGGACAATTTACAACAGTATAACAGGAATTCTGCTCTTCCTCCAAGTCAGCTAAGGTGGATACATAAGAGAACCTCAATAAACATTTGCCACAAAGAGGAAAGAGAAAACAAAAACAAAAACTGGAAAGCTGTAATTGAGATACACCACCTAGCATATTTAAATGTGTGTGTGTATCTCAAAACCAATCATATTAACAGACAAAAATGTACATGTGTGTTAATATGATTGTGTCAATATCTGTGTGTGTGTTAATATGATTGGTTTTAATGTTAAATTGTCCTAACATTCCAGGAATAAGTACTATTTGGTCATGGTGTATTACATTTTTAATACGTTTGGGGGTTAGTTTTGTCAGAATTGTATTAAAATTTTTGTATCTGTGTTTATAGGGAATATTGGCCTTTAATATTTATTTTTTGAATTTTTTTAATTTTTGATTCAGAATAATGCTGACCTCAGAGAGTAAGTTGGGTAATGGGTAATATTCTAACCCCCTGAATTTTTGGGAGGAATTGATATATAGTTGATATTAATTCTTGCTGCAAAGTTAGGAGGTATTCATCTGGGTAAGCCATTGGCACCTGGAGTTTTTTGTGAGATTTGTAACTGAAGATTCCAATAAATATAAGACTATTTACATTATTTATTACTTCTTAAGCACATTTTGGTAGTTCATGTCTTTCATGAAATGTTTCCATTTGATTGAAGTTGTAGTATTTATTGGCATGAAGGTGAATATCTTATTCCCTTATTATAATTTTAATAGCTATAAAAAAACTATAGGGACAATAGCTTTATCAGTCCTGATGTTGGAAGGTTGGTAGTTTGTCACCTCTCTATTATTTCATATCTATATGCTTACAGAAATCATCAATTTTATTGATTTTCTCAAAAAATCTTTCAGTGTCATGAATATTCAACATTATGTTTATGTTTTTATTTCATTGATTACCATTCTGACCTTCGTTATATTTTTTCTGCTGCTGCTTTTAGCTTCATTTGCTCTTCTTTTTACGGTTTCTTCAACTAGAATCATCAGTCATTAATTTTAGATCTTTCTTCTGATGAATTTAATTATTTTATGCTAAACATTTTCTTCTAAGTACCATTTTAACTTCACATAAAATTTAAATGTAGTGTTTTTTTATTCAATTCAAAATACTTTCTAATTTCTCTTTTGAGTACTTATTGACTCATGGTTATGTAGAAGTATGGTATTTAATATCTGAATATTTGAGGGCTGTGTAGATATGTTTTTGTTACTGATTCAAATTGAATTTGTGATTTGAATGCATTCTTGATATGACTTGAACTCTTTTAAATATATTGAGATTTGTTCATCTTTAACATAGCTACTACACTCCAAAATTGAAGTCAACACACTCATTACTATAAATTACTTGTTGAAATAATCTACCTTGAAGAGAAAGAAAATTAGGAAATAGAATTTAAATGATTCCTCCAAACCATACATTTATAAATATTGTCATATTTAAAATGTTTGAAAGTCGTGAATTCTCCATTAATGGAAAAGCAGTTTGCTATTGGGAACAGAAAATAACTCAGCGATAGTTTACCAAATGCTTTAAAATTTAAAAGCTGTACTGTTTGGATTTACACTTGTGCAGCATTCTTGTCATTAGAATAACAACTGCAAAGTGCTTTATTCTCACCTTCTCTCAAGTAAAATCTAAAAACTCCACTGTATCCAATGTTTGTAATGTCTATTTAAAGTGAATCTAAAAACTTTCTAAATTTAGTTTATGGTAAATACTTCAAAATACTTAAAAGAGGTACATTTCAATCACTTAAAGCTGTGAAAATTGTTTCAGATTCACTGCTTTAAAGGGTCTTCAAATATGTTTTCTTTTCTTTTTTTTTCTTTTTTTTTATACTTTAAGTTCTAGGGTACATGTGCGCAATGTGCAGGTTTGTTACATGTGTATACATGTGTCATGTTGGTTTGCTGCACCCATTAACTCGTCATTTATATTAGGTATTTCTCCTAATGCTATCCCTTTCCCATCCCCCCACCCCACTACAGGCCCAGGTGTGTGATGTTCTGCACCCTGTGTCCAAGTGTTCTCATTCTTCAATTCCCACCTATGAGTGAGATCATGCGGTGTTTGGTTTTCTGTCCTTGTGATAGTTTGCTCAGAATGATGGTTTCCAGCTTCATCCATGTCCCTACAAAGGACATGAACTCATCATTTTTTATGGCTGCATAGTATTCCATGGTGTATATGTGCCACATTTTCTTAATCCAGTCTATCATTGATGGACATTTAGGTTGGTTCCAAGTCTTTGCTATTGTGAATAGTGCCGCAATAAACATATGTGTGCATGTGTCTTTATAGTGGCATGATTTATAATCCTTTGGGTATATACCCAGTGATGGTATCACCGGGTCAAATGGTATTTCTAGTTCTAGATCCTTGAAGAATCGCCACACTGTCTTCCACAGTGGTTGAAATAGTTTACACTCCCATCAACAGTGTAAAAGCGTTCCTATTTCTCCACATCCTCTTTGACAGAACCTTACTTCATTCCAAATTAATATCAGATATTTTAAAATAAAAAAGATCAGTTCTATACAAAGATAAAATGTTACTCAATACCTGAAGGTTCACATTTTAAATTTATTTTTTATTTTTATTTTTTTGTCAACAGATGATCCATGAAATAATGCTACACCCTTAAATTCCAGAAGATGGCATGGTTTTTCCAACCTCCTGTGGATATGGGGCATGATCAATCTATTATATATGATTAATACAAGTTCATGCTTCTTGTTTTATGGTGAAACAACATTAAAGAATCCAATTTAGATTGACTGAAGCATGAGTATAATAATCCTTGAATGTGATTGTACTTACTTAATACACCAGTTTAAATCCATTATCTTGAGACTTAATGTACTATGGTCCATCCATCTTCATTAGTTTCATTTTTAGTACGAAAAGGAGATTCCCTATCTTTCTCAGCTCTCCATGAGGCCTTCTCTTTTTCACATTCTCTTTCTCAGTCTGGGTCTCTTTCTCGGTCTGGGTCTCTTTCTCAGCCTCTTGAAAGAGCTGGGGGAGCAAGTCAATGAGGAGGGCTCCACTTTTCTGCCCGGTCATCTTTCCTGTCATCAGCACGTCTCCAAGAACTTACTTCTTCACATTCTGACATTGTTGTCTCTTAGATCTCATCTTTCTCTTAGATCACACCGGAGATTTGTTTTATGGGCCAGAATTTGGTCTATCATGCCTAATATTCTGGGTGCAGTTGAAAATAATATTTATACTGCAGTTAATGAGTAGAGTGATCTATAAATGTCATTTAGGCTAGGCTGGCTGATGGTATTGTTCAAATCTATATTTACACTAATTGTTTATTTGCTTTATCAGTTATTGAGATGACAGTGTTGAAATCTCTATCACTGTCGATTTTCTATTTCTTCTTGCAGATCTATAAGTTTTCTTCTCATGTATTTTGGGTTTCTGTTATTGGGTGTATAAATATTTATGATCAGTGCATCTTTTGATGAATTGACCTCTTTGCTACCTGGTAATATATTTTTCTTACTCTATTTTGTCTGATGTTAATATAGTCACTCTAATTTTGTTTAATTATTGTTAGCCTGCATCTTTTCCATACTTTATTTTTAACTTATTTGCATCATTATAGAGTGAATTCAGTGGAGGCATCATCTAGTTGAGTCCTAATTATTTATCCAATTTGATAATCTCTGCCTTTTAGTTGGGGTAAAAATAGACATATAATATGTTTATTGATATGGGTGAGTTCAAATACACCATCTTGATATATACTTTACATTTGTTATATCTACTCTTTATTTCCTTTTTTCAATTGCTTATATTCTTTAGTATAAATATACATTTTCTTTAGAATATAGAATATAAAAGTCATAAAATGGAATTTGAAGATTCTATTTTACTTTCTTTTTAACTTCTAGGAGTTAAGCTCTTTGTTATGTTATTGTAGGCATCACTTTAGAGTTTATTGTATGTATTTTTTACTTATCATAATCTACATGCACATGATATTCTTTCATATATAAAATTATAACCCAATGACAGTATAATTATTTTTATCTTCTGATTTTTGTGCTATTATTATCATACATTTTAGTTCTATATATGTTATAAATGCTACATTTCAACATTTGCTTTACCCAATGAATTATGTTTTAAAGATATTACATTTGCTTTACACAATGAATTATGTTTTAAAGATATTTAAATAATAAGAAAATTCCTTCATATTTATCGTTCTAATTACTATTTCCCTGCTCTTTTGGGTAGAACCAGATTTCTCTCTGTTATCATTTTACTTTTATTTAAAATATTTCTTTTAATATTTATTGTAGTGATGATCTATCAGTAATGAATTATTTCTGCTTCTTTTTATTTTGGAAACATCTTCATTTCACCTTCAGTTTAGAAAGACAATGTTTCCATGACTTAAAATTCTAGGGGAATGTATATATAAGTACACAGACATACAAACATTTTGGTGCATTAAAGATAATATTCCAACTTGTCTTGTAACTTGCATTATTTCTGATGAGAAATCTGTCACCCTTTTCTTCTTTCCTCTGTATGCAGTATGTCTTTCACTAACTCCTTTACATCTTTCCTTTTTATTATTGATATTAGGCAATTTACTCTGATATGCCTTGTATACTGTACTTTATGATTTTTGAAGTTGGGTTCATTGAGTTTCTTAGATTTGTCAATTTACAGTTTTCAACATATTCAGAAAATTTTGGGCCATTAATTGTAAAATATATTATTGTTGTTTCCCTCTCCTTACTTTGGAGACTCCACATATGCATATTTTGATCACTTGAAGTTTTCCATTATCTTTTCAGGTATTCGTCTCCCTCGGTTTCATTTAGAGGGTGTCTTTTGCTATGTCTTCAACTCTGTAATATTTTTTTCTGCAACATCTAATCTGGAGTTAATCCTATCCACTGAATTTTTCATTTTAGACTCATAGATTTTTTCTAGAGAGGTTCAGTTTGGGTCCTTTAAAAGAATCTCTGCCATATCACTTCTTAACATGTTTACTCTTCCTGGCAGCTTTTTAAGTGCATGACATAGAGTTAAAATATTTTTAAATGTGCTTATTAATTAAATGTTTTGCATTATTTCTGGTTTACTTTTAATTGATCGATCTTTTTCATTATGGATTATATATATTTTTTGCTTCTTTGTTGTCACGCCTAGTAATTTTTTAACAAGTTTGAGGCATTGTGAATTTTACCTTAATGAATGCTGAGTATTTATGTTTTGTAAAATAATACTGAGCTTTGTTCTGTGACAATTGAGTGACTTGGAATAAGTTTAATTGTTTTGGGTCTTGGTTTTAGGCTTCCTTAGGGAAGACCAGGGGCTATTTAATTTTTTCCACATTCCTGAAGCAAGACCCTTCTTAGTACTCTGACTGGTGACGTGAATTACGAGTAACTCTGCTCCTGCTATGGAGAAGAGCCACTATTCTTGGCCTGTTGTGATCTCTAGGCACTATTTTCTCTAATATATGTGGGTGGTTCTTTCTGGCCTTGAGGAGTTTCTTCACACATGTGTGCTTATCAGTACTCAAAATGAACACCATCTACAGATGCATGCTGGGAATAGGCTACCCCTGGACAGCTGGCTCAGACAGCCCAGCCGCAGAGTTCCTCTGAAGATACTTGGAGTCTGTTCTTCCTGCAGTTCTCTTCCCTCTCGCACTCTTCTGTGAACTCCAGCCACCTTGCCCCCTACACTTCCAGTTCCACCTCCTCAACTCTGAGAGGCTGGCCTCTGTGTGAGTTGCCACTGTCTGCACTATGTCCTGGAAACTTTCTGCAGTCAGTAAACTGGAGTTCACTTCAGTTGTTTCCCATTTTTCAGGAATAACTGGTTTTTGTTCCCTCATGTCATGTGACTTGTGAGCTGTTTTCTTGTAATTCACCTAGTTTTCTAATCTTTTAAGGCCCCAGAAGGTAAATCTGATTGCTTTTTCTCCATCTTGGCCAGATTTGAGCATCAACTATAAGGCGCATTTTTAATAGGTTATTGTGAAGAGTCAATAAAAGTGTTGGCCACTCTGAAGATTCAAGAATGTTAAATAACACAATAAATACTCACTCATAATATTTTCAGATATTAGCAACTAAAGAAACAGGACTAGAAACAAAAGAAATTCTAAGTGGTGAGGAGAGCTATAGTGGGAAAGCAATATAATGAATTATGAAAAAAAATAAGTTTTGGAAACACAGCAAGACTTAAGAAGACAGGATGACTGGAAGCAACAAGGAAAGGTTGTAAAATTAACTGACTAAGAAGGAGACACTGGCATTCCCAGGAGGCAGAGTTAGGGCTTTCCCTCCACACATATGGAGGTGGAAGCCTTAGCATGGTTAGTTGGTTTCCACTAGCATATTTGGTCCTTTCTTATTCTTTATTGGCATTCTTCCACTGCTTCCAGATGCACGCTGGGAATCAGGCTACCACTGGACAGCTGGCTCAGACAGCTGCAGCCATAGTTAACAAGTAGCTGAAGCAAGGAATTGTTTACATTTTCGCAGTCGTTTTCCCTTTCCTGCTGATGTGACTGTTAAATGTTGTGGGGGCACATTCACTTCATTGGGTACATTGATAATTATACATATATTTAGAAAAATAATATACATATTATTTATACATATTATATATGCAAAGCAAAAGCATATACATAAAATAAAAAGATGACTATATGTATATGTGTATATATCAAAAGAATTACTTGTCTATTATCAGTTTTGCCCTGCTTTCACCAATGTACCATCTCATGAAGACATTTTAGTTCCTGAGTGAATCAGATTGATTCTTTCAATGTAATAATATAATTTATAATTTAATAGTTAATATTATAGTCATGAATTTATTTATACCACAAATATTCATTAGGGATCTATTTTTTGATGTTTTAATTATTACCAACTTTTTAAGAGTCCAGAGTTTGATAATTTAAAGTATAATTAGTGCTGACACTCTTTTTCTGTCTTTATAGCAGCTGTTAGTCAGTTCAAAGAAAAAAAATTATTGTCTAAAAAGAATAATATAGTTGATTGTATTTTGCTTCATGTTAAAAAGACAGGAAAGATATTTCTGTCTGAAATTACATCTATTATCAGAATGACTGATCAGGAAACAAGGGGGATTTTTCATCACTTCTAAAGTAAGATGAAGGCAGTACTTACTTAGAAAAATATTAAATATACATATGGTTACAATAATTATATGGTGTCAGAAATGTATTCACTTTTGTAGGAAAGAGTCTTTTAATTTTAAAATTATATTTCCCATATTCAGTGTTTTGTCTATTCTAGCTTCCCTGGATCCACACATTTGATACCATAAGTTTCCATGTGTTTATCCAAGCCATACATACAATGAATACAGCATGATGTAAATGTTGCATGTGAATCAACAATAAGATAATGACTAAATCTTAATTTGCACTATATCTATTTCCTCAGCTTCTTCCTATTATTGTCCATTGTCTACAAACACTTCTAATTTCAGATCCAACTAGATATATCAAGATTATATGACCTATTTTCTCAGACTTATGCCTGGAGAACTCAGTGATTTGTACAATTTCTGAAAGAGCCAATGGTGTGCTGGTAAATTGGCATGCCATGAGGAAAAGACAAGACTGATTTGCCTCATCTGTTGGTCTCCATGGCGTAAATACTGCCACTGAGGTTGATTTCAAGCTACCTGCTTGTTAGTTACCATACCGCAAATTTCCTGAATATTTATTTACTGGCTCTCATTAATCAGTATAAGCTGGCTTTAGCATGCCACCTATTCATTGTTAGTAGAATTTGGCCAAAAAACCATCAGATCTTCTTGTAAAATCTTATTAAATACTTACTGGAAATCTTAGATATATACTGACTATCATGATCTACTAATCAGCCACTAGCTTTTCTCAAGATGAATATAATCACCTCTACCATACATATCTTCTCCCTGAGAAATCTGCTTCACACATACTTTCAGTTTCTTCAATCTCTTTTGTTTTTTTCAGCAGATCATTTATGTTTTTTAAAGTTTCACCTAGGGTCTTCTAAATTAGAGTGATCAATTTTGAGTTTCCTTGCTAGTTAAATTTTATTTTTAAAGAGTCAGACTTTTGAGTGGCATTAAACTTAACATTAAAAAGACAATCTCATGGTGAAACCCCGTCTCTACTAAAAATACAAAAAAAATTAGCCGGGCGTGGTTGTGAGCGCCTGTAGCCCCAGCTACTCGGGAGGCTGAGGCAGCAGAATGTCGTGAACCCAGGAGGCGGAGCTTGCAGTGAGCCAAGATTGTGCCACTGCACTCCAGCCTGGGCGACAGAGAGAGACTCCGTCTCAAAAAAAACAAAACAAAACAAAACAAAAAAAAGACAATCTCAATTGAGGCATTAAATAACAATTTTATTATTTAGGCATAAACCCGGGATGTGGAAATGTGTTCTCAATTAAACATCAAATTCTAATTTGATCTGAAAAAGTGATGCCCCAAACTAAATATTAAAATAAATTTAATAATAGAGTTTTATTTAGTTTTCAAATAATATTATCTTCTACAGTTATTCAGATAGAGCACAAAACATAAGTTTAATAAATTTAAGTGTAATCATTGTTCAATAATGTCTTCTGTAACTTAAGATTTTTTTCAACTTTCTACCTTGGCGTAGATACAATAATTGAGGCTACAGCAATGATTTTGGCCCTTTATGAGAGATTTCATTAAGCCCTAGTTAGATAAGTGATCTGAACACAAAGTTCAATCTTGTATCTCATGCTTATGAAAAACCTTTTAATATTTTGGGGAAGCAGCAGAACATAGCGGAAAGAAGTCACAATCTATTGTCAGAAAAAAACATGAGTTCAAATTCTATCTCTGCAATTCTATAACTTTCTCATAAACTCACTGAAAATCATTTTCTCCTTGGGTCAAGAAGAATAAATAGATATAATGTTTTTAAAGAAAATGGCAGATACAGATATTTTATGTGTTTTTGGCTTTCTGTATCTCCTAAATGTTTGGTGAAAATCTTTTCAATCTAGCCATATTAAAGGGAAAGATCCAGATAGGCCCACCCTCAAAGCAAAACACCACCAGAACCCAAAGAAGCTCTGGCTGCTACCATGAGTGGTGAAGATAAAATTATTATTATTTATAATATTTTCAAATGTTCGTGTCTCTGCTGAATTTCATTAGATGATTACAAGGGAGAGCAATATTCTGTTCTCTGGTTCTCTCAATGCATCCATCTAAGCTGTGTTGTACATCAAATTGGTGAGAATCTTTTTCATCTTCTACTGTATTAAAGTTAGTTTCTTTAAGTAGCAAAGCATAATTCCCATACTTTCTGCATGGCTTTCACATAATTACCTGAAGTAGCTTTTTTTTTCTTATACATATTATGGTGTTGACTCCTAGGAGCCTAACACACAAGTCTAGAGAAAAGTGGAGATCAGAGGAAAGGTCCAGAGAACAATATAAAGCACACAAATTCACCCTCCACTTAAAGAATATCTTTTGAGTATCTAGACTCTGAGACCTGGGTTGTTGTTAGGATTACGTAAGAAAATAAAGCAATATAGATGCTAATTACTTCCATTCAAAGAAAGAATGAAACACCTAGGTGCCAGGAATGAATAGAGAAATCAAATCCAGAGATTAAGAAAAGAAAATAAGTAATAAGAAAAGCCCAAGCTGCTTTGGTGTTCTGTAGTTTTGAAAAAGGCACATGGCTTTGAGGCTTAGAAATTACAGTTAAATACTCAAAGATAAAAGGTTTGCCATCAGAGCTTGAAAAAGTAAAAGGACTGAACCTGAGCCTCTGAATAAAACCTGGATTTGATAAAGTCTAATTTATATATAATATATATTTAAGAAACATAGAAAAACAGCAAATATAATTTCTCTCTAGCATATAACATAGGCAACAAAAACAAAAATTGAAATAAAAAATACTGGGCACCCTCACACCATGTTGTGACATTCATGTTTACACTCCCTGTTGATATAGATTACTAAAGAATAGGAAACTAACACAAATAGGTCCACATGTAATTAAGGCATTTTTTTCATAATCCAGATCAAATAAGAGTCCATATAAAAAGCAGTTCTTCTTAAATAAAAGTTCACATTAAAAAATTACATCTCACAGGAGGAAATGAACCAACATGAGGAATTATCCCAAAATAGTGGTTGGGACTATGCTAATGCCCGTGGCCCAAATGTGGCCTGAGGATTATTTTTGTAAAGATGTTAATTAGCAATGGTTCTTAAACTTTTAAAGAGTTCTAAAATAAAAACCAAAGTATATAAAAAAGAGAGAATATGTGATATACAACACTTAAAATATTTACTCTCTGGCATTTTCCAGAAGAAAAAATTGCTGACCCCAATTAATAAATATCTATTTGATAGTCTCAGAATTTTCTGACTTCTCTGGCTGTTTTTCATTGATGCAGAAAAAGTAATTGATAAAATAAAATACTACTTTATTATGAAAATGTTCGGGGCCGGGCACAGTGGCTCATGCCTGTGATCCCAGCACTTTTTGGGAGGCCGAGGCAGGTGGATCATGAGGTCAGGAGATCGAGACCATCTTGGCAAACATGGTGAAACCCCGTCTCTACTAAACATACGAAAAATTAGCCAGGCGTGGTGGTGGGCACCTGTAGTCCCAGCTACTCGGGAGGCTGAGGCAGGAGAATGCTGTGAATCCGGGAGGCAGAGCTTGCAGTGAGCCGAGACAGAGCCACTGCACTCCAGCCTGGGCGACAGAGCAAGACTCGCTCAAAAAAAAAAGTAATAAAAATGAAAATGAAAATGTTCGGAAAAATGGGAATAGAGAGGAACTTCCTTAATTAGATAAAGAACACCTCCCAAAAACCCACAACTTATATTACATTTAATAGTGAAAGACTGAATGTTTTCCCTATAAGAAAGGGAACAAGACAAAAATTACCATGCTCATAACACTTTCAACACAATTGTGGAAGCTTTAACTAATATATCAAGAAAAAGAAACATTAGGTGTGTTGAAAGGAAAGAAAGAAATAAAACTGAATCTATTTTCAGATGACATGGTTGACTCCAAAAAAAAAAAAAAATCAAATGAATGTACAAAAAACCCCTGCAAACTTCCCTAACCTTATACACGAGTTTAGCAAAGATTCAGGATAGAAGGTAAACATGCAAAAATCCTAACAGCAAACATGTGGAAACGAAAATTAGAAAGATAATACCATTTACAATTGCACAAAATAGGAAATATTTAGGTGTAAATTTAACAAAATATATACAGAAGTTGAATGCTGAAAGCTATATGATGCCAAAGAAAAAATTCAGAAAGATCTAAGAAATGGAAAGACATACCATGTTATTGGATTGGAAGAGTCAACATAATCAAGATATGAATTCTCCACAAATTGAAGTATAGGATTAATACAATTCCTATAAAAAATCCCAACAAGATTTTCTCTAGAATAACTAAGGTTATATTAAAATTTACATGGAGGGAAAGTAGAAAGGAAGGGTAGAAAGGAAGGAAGAAAGATGGGAGGGAGGGAGGAAGGAAAGGAAGGAAGGAAGGAAGAAAAGAGAGAAAGAAAGAAAGAGAAAGAGAAAGGAAGAGAGAAAGAAAGAAAGAGAGAGAAAGGAAGAAAGAAAGAAAAGAAGGAAAGAAAGAAAGAGAAGAAAGAAAGAAAGAAAAGAAAGAAAGAAAGAAAGAGAAAAGAAAGAAAGAAAGAAAGAAAGAAAGAAAGAAAGAAAGAAAGAAAGAAAGAAAGAAAGAAAGAAAGAGAGAAAGAAGAAAGAAAGAGACGGGTGGATCACGAGGTCAGGAGATCAAGACCATCCTGGCTAATACGGTGAAACCCCGTCTCCAATAAAAATACAAAAAAAAATTAGCCGGGCGTGGTGGCGGGCGCCTGTAGTTCCAGCTATTCGGGAAGCTGAGGCAGGAGAATGGCGTGAACCCGGGAGGCGGAGCTTGCAGTGAGCGGAGATCTCGCCACTGCACTCCAGCCTGGGCGACAGAGCGAGACTCCGTCAAAAAAAAAAAAAAAAAAAAAAGAACAAAAGAACACTGGCTGAACTAACTCTTTCACCTTACACAAAGTTAACTCAAATGAATTATGGAGTCGGTGTAAAATGTAAAACTATAACCTTTAGAAAATCAGAGAAAATCCTCAAGATTTAGGGCTACACATGGGTTATTAGACTTTACACAAAAGCGTGATCCATAAAATAAAAAATTGGCAAATTAGACTTCATCAAAATTAAAAAATTTTCTATGTAAAAACTGTATTAAGGAAATGAAAGGGCAAACTATGAAGTATGAGAAAATATTTGCAAATATTATATTTGACAAATGAGTAATATGAAGTACATTTGAAATGCTCTCAAAACTCAGCAGTAAGGGGTGGGTGCAGTGGCTCACGCCTGTAATCCCAGCACTTTGGGAGGTCGAGGAGGGTGGATCACCTGAGGTCGGGAGTTTGAGACCAGACTGACCAACGTGGAGAAACCCCGTCTCTACTAAAAGAACAAAATTAGCCGGGTATGGTGGTGCATGCCTGTAATCCCAGATACTCAGGAGGCTGAGGCGGGAGAATCACTTGAACCAGGGAAGCGGAGGTTGAGATGAGCCGAGATTGCACCATTGCACTCCAGCCTGGGCAGCAAGAGTGAAACTCCATCTCAAACAACAAGAACAAAACAAAAAACTCAACAATAGGAAGACAATATGATTACAAAAGACATGAAGAGACATTTCAATGAAGAGAATATACTGATGCAAATAAACATATGAAAACATATTCAACATCATTGGCCATTAGGAAAATGCAAATTAAAACAATAATAAAGTACCAAACACACCCATTAGAATGGCTTAAATAACAAGTAGTGATCACGTCAAATACTGGCAAGGATGTAGATAACTCTGAGTGCTTATACATTGCTGGTGGCTATGAAATATGGCACAGCCATTCTGGAAAACAGTTTGGCAGTTTCTTAAGAAAACTAAACACTGGGACCTAGTAACTGCACTGCTAGGCTTTCATTCCCCCTAAATGATTCATTGTCATGCAAAAACCTGGGAGCTCGGATGTTTATAGCAACTCTATTTGTAATAACCCAAATCCGGTAACAAGCTAGGTATCCTTCATTGGAGGAATAGTTAAGCTGTGGCATATCCATACCATGAAATACTATTCAGTAATAAAAGGGTGCACATTATTAATGTCTTCAAGAATCTGGATAAATAAGGGAATTATGCTGAGTGAAAAAAGCCAGTCTGAGGATTTTATGTTATGTGATTCCATGTATGCAGTTTTCTCGTTAGTGGTTGCACATAGTTAAGTAAGGGATGAGGCAGGAGGATAATGGGTGTGACCATATTAAAGGGCCACATGAAGGAGTCTGATGGTAATGAAACATTTCTCTATCTTGACTGTGTCAATGTCAATAGTCTGATTGTGATATTGTGCTCTAGTTTTCAAGCTATTATCATTGGGGAAAACTGGATAAAAATATTATTTCTTACAACTTCATGGGAATCTATAGTCTCAAAATAAAAAGTTCAGTAAAACAAGGTAAATAATTCACTGTAAGTTGCTTTCTTACAATCACGGAAAAAGGAAAGTTAATAAATGTCGAACTAAAAAAAGACTGACAGTTGAGAAAGATATATGTAAGTAGATATTTGCTTTTAATCATAAAGGCAGTTCAGAGGGAACCTAGGCTGTATCAAAGAGGCCGAGAAAACAGGAAAAAAAAGGCACAGTATCTTTTTGATGTACAGAAAGAAAGCTAATAAAGCCTATGAAATGTTGGAGGGCTGGTATGTTCCTTAAAAAAGTAAATGCAACAAGTGGACAGCTACTTTTGTGAATAATTTGAGACCAGTGTAGTTTCATTTAGGACTTGGATGAAGATGACCTCACAAGAATCTCTTTAGTTCTATGAGTTTTATGTGCAATAGCTTTCAGTTTTGCTATAGAAAATAAAAAATGGCTAATATAATTACTCTTGGAACAATACCAAGTAGCATTTCAGTGACAAAAACTAATGATGATTTTTGAAAGGTCTGACATGAAATACAAAAGAAGGGCTTAAATCCATAATCATAAATGGGACATTGAAATATAAAATACATAATAGCCCGTTTTCCAGAAAAAGATTACTACTCTCAAGATTTCCTGTAAACTACTCAGTTTTACTGACAATCCAATTCAATAAATATTTTTAAAATTCTGACTATGTTTTAGAGCTTTTTGCTAGATGCTGTAGTGTAGTGAATATAAAAATAATGAATAAAAATATCTGTCTTTATGCCCAAGGATGTTACCACATATAAATAACTCATTATAAAAGAAGATAGAAGAAAATAAATACCTAATGCTGATTAGAAAGACAATGTGCTCTATAAAGACGAATACTAAGCAACACATTTTTATTATTCTCTCATTCTCCTACTTCTGAGAAAATTCCTTCAATAAATCACTTTTATGAGAATCTTGGTCTCTGCTTTTAAGGAACAAGAGAAATGTATTGTGTATTCTAAAAATGCCAAGTACACTTAGGGATGAAGAACATGCTGTGTGTAATGTATATTGATAGGTAAACTTGGGAAGGTAGGTTATATTTAAGCCACAACTTATTTGAAGTTCATACAAAGGATTTGGGACATATTTTTATAAGCACTTTTTTTATGAAGCACGTGCTTTCAAGTCACCAATACTTGATAAAAATATAAGAGGTGTATGAATGATGGAATCAAAAGGAGAGAAATTGTGGGCAATGTGATCAATTAGAGAATCCATTTAGGTGGCATCAGTGGAGGAAATAAAGCTGACAGATTTCATAAAAAATTATTGGGTTATAGCAGCTAAATTTAAAATCAGGCTTGAAAATGAAGGAGTCTATGATACTGGGTGGAAGGTATTGTCTTCAGCTGAGATAATAAGTTGGGGGAAATATTGAATTCTGATTTGTATACATTTTGATGAGTGGGAAGAAGGCTGTCAAGTCTATTTATAGATGTAAGTACAGAAACCATCAAAATTAGAGGAAATTTACAACTATAGAATGGATGGGACTGCCACCACAGAAGTGCTCAGTGAGAAAGCCACTTTGATGAAATTTAATAAATTCATGAGAAAAAAAAACTGATTGAAAGAAGGTAGAAAATTGAGTATATAGCAAATGAGAAAGTTTAAAGAATAAAGGTGCTATCTGGTATTGTATAAAGTGGTTTACAAACAGAAAAAGCTGTTGTATTTAACAGGACATCATTAGTGATTTTTGATGATAATTTTATGGGTAATAATAGGTAAGAAATGTTTTAATGATGTTAAATAGTGAATTTAGGCTTTCTAAAAAAAAAGTTGGCAATGAAAACAAAGATGATAAAGCATTGGAATGGAAAAGAATAGAAAATTGTAAACCTTCTGTGACTTAAACATATTTGTTAGAAATAACCAGTGAAGATAACTTATATCATCAAAATAACCTCCTCATGTTTTTAAATCATCTATTAATAAAATAATGAAATTATATTTACTTTTTAAAGTGCCACAAATCTAAGGATATTTGCATCTGTAGGAGATGAACAATTTTAATTTTAAATGCGTGTGTTATCAGGGAGTTTGCAATATCTGGCTACAATTTTTATTTCCAGATGAAACTAGAGACAAGATGAATATTGCAACAGCAAAAATATCTTACCAAATTCCTTTCTACAAACGATCACTATGATTTTTTTTCTCAGATTGGGATGATGCATACACATATGAATGGTTTTCTTTCTGTTCTCCATATGGATGTTATTATTATTGATTTCTTTTGACTTTAGCTAATTGAATATCTCTCTCAAATTGAAGGGAAGCAGAAGTGATATCTAAAATCAAAATCAAAGGGTTTTTTTCACCAACAAATAAATTTGAAGTAAGTCCACATGTCTCCTATCCATTCCTCTATAAAAACAGTTATTTTGTTTTACATCTATCATTCACTTTATGTAATTGATCATTTCATTTTACTGATATGTTCCCAAAATGTAAATCATGATGTTTTACTACTCTAAACTCTTCAATGACTTTTTGTTACATTTTGAATGAAAATCTCAAATCCTAACTGCAGCCTACAAATTCATATAGCCTCTCCACCTTTTAAGCATCATCTCCTGCCAACCCAACAATCACCACTTCTGCCACTCCAACACCACATTTCAGACCCAGAATCCTTCTTACTGCCCCTGTAACATGCCAAGTTCTTCCCCATTTCGGGGACTTCAACAGGCTGTATCCACTGCCTGAAACATTTCTTCTATCTACTTACTATTCAACTGAGTTATAGCCCTCGGGAGTCAGCTAAATGCTACTTCTTCAAAGAAGCCTCTCAATCTAATGTAGTTCCCCTCTAATTCTCTCTCATAAAACCCTAATTTCTCTTAGCACATTTTTATACTGTCCAAATGTATGTTTATTTCTTGGTTATCTGATGTATATTTCTTCCACCTTTGTACAATAGAGAATAAAGCAATTATATCATTATATTCTCAGTGCATATCACAGGGCTGAATACATAGAAGACAATAAAACATATTTGTGAAATAAGTGGATCCTTACAGCAAGGGTCTTAAGTAGAATCAGTATTACCCTAAAATATTAAATGCAGCTTTATATCTGTATCTACATTTATGTTTACACACACATATCTCTCATATCTCTCTATCTATGTATCTATCATCCATCTATCATCTCTCTCGGTATGTGTGTGTGTTTGTGTGTGTGTGTTTGTCTGTGTGTATGTGTGTAAGTATCACAAGAACTGTATACAAAGGAAACAAAGCAAAGCAATGCACCTTTGCTAAAGTTGTAATGCTTACTCCTCTGTCAGGAGAGGTAGCTTATGGTAACAAACAGGGTGCTGTTCCAAAGGTGGTGTGAGTTGGGAAGGTTAGTAAAAATCTGGACTTACTACAACATTTCTATTCTACCAGAGAGAAAAATATTTTTTCAAAAGGAAATCACTAAAGAATCCAGTAAGGAAGAGGGTAGTAGAAAAGGTTAAAGCACCAGTGGATGAAGATAAGAAATGTTTTGTGATTGGGGTTAAACACATGCTGATTGTATTCTGTGGAATACTGTTGTGAAAGTATAGGGCACTTACCTGCTCATGGTCAGAATGGTCCATCAAAGAATTATGAAGCTTGACAAACAAATATGTTAAGACAATGGGATATTGCACAGTTTGGAAACACTTCACTGAATAATCAAAGTGGACCAGGTATGGCGGCTCATGACTGTAATCTCAGCACTTTGAGAGGCTGTCAGGAGGATTACTTCAGCTCAGGAAATCGAGATCAGTCTGGGCAACATAGTGAGACCCTGTCTCTACAAAATATTTTTAAAAAATTTAGATGGGTGTTGCAGCACGCACCTGTAGTCCCAGCTACTTGGGAGGCTGAGGCAGGGGGATTGCTTGAACCAAGGAGTTCAAAGCTGCAGTGAGCCATGATCATGCCACTGCACTCCAGCCTGGGTGACAAAGCTAGATCCTGTCTCAGAAAAAATAGATAAAGTATCATTTTAACTTTTTAAAAAGAAATACAGAATACTAATACAAATTCAAGGTGATATGTTCAAACTGACCTGAACTAAATAATTCAAACAAAAAAAGAAATTTCTAGTTTTATACCTGCCTTAGTTATATGTGGTTAGTCTCAATCACTTTATGCCTTAGTTTTCTCACCTACCAAAAGTAAAATAATTTTAAAATTCCAATTGTATCGTAAACACAAAGCATTGTTGGAAATGTTGAGGTATTGATATTGTTCGTATTTATAGCCTTCCTTAGGAAGAGAAGTGAAGAAGAATGGTTCTCAAAGTGACATAATAACTGAAACAATGCAGAACAGTGTTTGTAAAACCACTAAGGAGCTATATGTGAAAAATTTTTTTGAAAAGAGAGAGAAGTAGTACCCTTACAGAACTAGAAAACCAATTCTCACAGACCAAAAAAAAAATGGTAAGAGAGGGAAAACAGAAGGCAAATGGTAAAATGACTTAAAAATTATATTAACAAGAATTATTATAAACTTACTATGTACTAGGCAGTGTCTTGCTGGCTAGGACAAGCACCCTTGCTCTTGAGGAGCTTACATTTCTCTGTAGAGATAGGCATAAGAAAATTAAATTAAAAGTTGATGCCTGCAAAGACAGTATATCATGTGTGTATAATATATAGATATATTAAGTGGAATGAGATTCTGCCTCTATAGAGGTGTTACAAGAGAGTTTGGGGAAAAAGGGTCATCTTGATTTTGCTTTTGACAACAGGAATTTTTGAGAAAACTAATGGTGCAGAGCCATGGGCAACTGTATAAAGAAATGATGTGATGTGTGAAGGAAAACAGGAGAATTTGTGCCTCCAGGGTGCTGTTTCTTAGATTCAAAACTTATGCAACTATCAATAGTCTACTGCTTCATATAGAAACCTCAAAACTTATTTGCACTCAAAACACACAACTGATGCTTATTTGTTGTTAAGTTTGAGCAGTTTGAGATTATCTTTCTGTGCATTATGTGTACATCACATAGTTTAGTAGAAATAGGCTATTTCAAATATACCTATTTGAAAGACTCATTATGTAGACAGAGTTGGATATCTGTTGTTTCCCCAGAAGATCACAAATAAGGAAGTGAAAAGCACAGGTAGATTTTAAGTTTATATTATACCATCAATGCAGTACTACAATGATATTTGTAAGATTTATCTTCTGAGGATAACTTTAAGAAAAGGAGAGATAAGTTTTCTCTCTGGGCGTAAGTCCTAGCTGGAGGTTAGATTAAAAAAAAAAGATTGCCTATAAATGGAGAAACTGTTAGAAACAAATATGGCATTATGTACACCTAATATATAATTATAATAACGATTGTGACTACAATTAGTTGTCCTTAAGTCAGTTTTTAATATCATGTACTTTATCAAGGTAGTCAGAACTAAGAATCTGCTGGTTTAAATGCAGGCTAAATTCCTAATTAGCTAGAAAATCTTTTCTTCACCAGAGCTCTAATTCTTGTACTATAATTAGATTTAAATGTGTAGTATTGATTTGGTAGTAATTAAATCTGTGTAAATGTTACGCTGCTTATATTTGGAAACAGATTGAGACAAAAGAGTTGAAAGCTAATTACTTTCTAGAAAGGATTCTAAATAAATTAAGATGAAGTCGATTATGGTACAAAACAAGAGTGGATGTAAAAACTTACCAATTTTTAGAAAAGAAAAATTCTTAAATCAGAGAAGACAAAAAATCATGTTTCTAATTACTTGGCTTTAAAAAATATTGCATACATAAGTGAGATTATACAGTATTTTTATTTCTGTGTTAGCTTATTCCACATAGCATAATTTCCTCTATGTACATCCATGTTGCTGCAAAAGGCAGGAGCTCCTTCTTTTTAAAGGCTGAATTACATTTCATTATATATATATCACACTTCCTTTATCCACTCATCCATAGATGGACACTTTTGTTGTTGTTATACCTTGGCTATTATAACTAACACTGCAATGAACATCTAAGTGAAGATATTTCTACATGGTGCTGATTTCTCCATGGTGCTGATTTAATTTCCTTTGCATATATACCAGAAGAGGGATTGGTGTATTACATGGTAGTTTTATTTTTATTTTTTTGAGGAAGTCCTGTATTATTTGCCATATGACTATTATCAATTGACGTTTTCACCAACAATGTACAAAAGTTCCCATTCAATTACCTCCCATCAGGTCCCTCCCATGACATGTGGGGATTATGGGAGCTATAATACAAGTTGAGTTTTGGGTGGGTACACAGACAAGCCATATTGTTCTCTGGCCCTTCCAAATCTCGTGTCCTCACATTTCAAAATGCCTTTCAATCATGCCTTCCCCAACAGTCCCCAAAGTCTTAACTCATTTCACCATTTACTCAAAAGTCCACAGTCCAAAGTTTCATCTGTGACAAGGCAAGTCCCTTCTGTCTATGAGCCTGTAAAATCAAAAGCAAGTTAGTTACTTCCTAGATATAATGGGAGTACAGGCATTGGGTAAATACACTATTCCAAATGGGAGAAATTGGGCAAAACAAAGGGGCTACATGCCCCTGTGCAAATTCAAAATCCAGTGGGGCAGTCAAATCTTAAAGTTTCAAAATGATCTTTTATTCCATGTCTCACTCCCAGGTCACACGGATGCAAGAGGTGGGTTCCCATGGTCTTGGACAGCTCTACCCCTGTGGCTTTGCAGGGTACAGTTTTCCTCCCGTCTGCTTTCAGGGGCTGGCATTACTCAATGCCTGCAGCTTTTCCAGGTGCATGGTGCAAGCTGTCAGTGGCTCTTCCATTCTGGAGTCTGGAAGACGGTGGCCCTCTTATAGCCCCGCTAGGCAGTGCCCCAGTGGGGACTCTGTGTGGGGGTTCCCGCCCCACGTTTCCTTTCCACACTACCCTAGCAGAGGTTCCCCATGAAGGATCTGCTGCTGCAGCACACCTCTGTCCGTACATCCAAGCATTTCCATATTCCTCTGAAATCTAGGCAGAGGTTCCGAAACCTCAATTCTTGACTTCTGTACACCCGCAGGCTCAACACCACATGTAAGCTGCCAAAGCTTGGGGCTTACACCTTGTATTAGTCAGGGTTCTCTAGAGGGACAGGACTAATAGGACAGATGTATATATGAAAGGAAGTTTATTAAGGAGTACTGACTCTCATGATCACAAGGTCAAATCCCACAATAGGCTGTCTGCAAGCTGAGGAACAAGGAAGCCAGTCCGAGTCCCAAACCTCAAAAGTAGGAAAGCTGACAGTACAGTCTTCAGTCTGTGGCCAAAGGCCTGAGAGCCCCTTGCAAACCACTGTTGTAAGTCCAAGAGTCCAAAAGCTGAAGAACTTGGAGTCGAATATTCAACAGCAGGAAGCATCCAGCACAGGAGAAAGATGAAGTGTGGAAGACTGAGCCAGTCTCGTCTTTCCAGGTTCCTCTGCCTCCTTTTATCCTAGTCATGCTGGTAGCTGATTAGATGGTGCCCACTCGCACTGAGGGTGGGTCTGCCTCTCCCAGTCCACTGACTCAAATGTTAATCTCCTTTGGCAACACCCTCACAGAAACACCCAGGAACAATATCTTGCATCTTTCAATCCAATTAAGTTGATGATCAATATTAACCAACACAAATTTACCCCTTGTCAATTTGAAGTCCTACGCATCTACTGAAATCATACATAATCTTCAAATAAAGACAATAATAAGGTCATAATTACACCTAACATAATACAGCTATCCTTTGTACAACTGGAAGTACACCAATCCCCAACCCAAATGCTATAACATAAAAGTTAACAACACTTAAATGCTGATATGAAGTCAATAAATCTTATGTCACATGATAAAGGAAAAAGGAAATAAAATGAAGATATTTTCTTAGCACAAGTGTATACATGCATAAACATGCTCTTAACAAAATAAGGAGGAAATACTCCTAACAATTACAGTCCTCCTTTCTGCAACTGGTCACATGATTGTAGCTTGGATTGATGACAACCTTCTTCTACTACCCATTCTGTATTTCCTTTGCCTTCAGCAAGCACCTCAGCAGATCCTGGTGGAATGACCCAATCCTGCATTTCTAAAGGGTCTGGGCCATTTGTAGGTCTGCCTGCATTGAGTTGTTGTAGTTTCCCATTGACCTTAAGCACAGGGCATGGTGATAGTAAGAGATGCCCTAAGGGATCTCCTGTATTCCACACATACTCTTCCTTACCTCCATTGTGGAAGACTAGACTGATTTTATCTTGATAGTCTGAGTCAATCACTCCAGCCAACACTGTAACTCCCTTATTAGCCTGTTGACTTAAAAGTAGGAGGAGACCAAGGTGGCCAGATGGCAATCTTAACTTGCAGTTCAATAGAATCATTTTTGTGTCTCCTGGAGGCAGCATTCCTCCTTCTGGAACTAAGACCTCTAGGCCAGGAGAATGTAATGTTGTGGGAACAGGAAGGAAAACTTTTGCTAGTGGATCACTAGGGGTGATGGTGAGTGGTGCCACTTCCACTTCCACCCCTTGATTCCTGGACCCGTGAATCCTGGCTATGGGAGAAACAGTACCATATGTAGGACACTGATTCAGAACATTCATAGCTTTCTGAAGAACTTTGCTTCAGCCCTGCAAAGTACTGTCACCTAGGTGGCATTGTAATTGTGACTTCAAATGGCCATTCTACCATTCTATCAATCCAGCTGCTTCAGGATGATGAGGAAAATGGTAAGACCAGTGAATCCCATGAGTGTGAGTCCACTGCTGTACTTCTTTAGCCATAAAGTGAGTACCTTGGTCAGAGGCAATGCTATGTGGAATAACATGATGGTGGATAAGGCATTCCTTGAGTCCATGGATGGTAGTCATGGCAGAAGCATTGTATGCAGGAGAAGCAAACCCATAGCAAGAGTAAGTGTCTATTCCAGTGAGGACAAACCGCTGACCTTTCCATAATGGAAGAGGTCTAATAGAGTCAACCTGCCACCAAGTAGCTATCTGATCACCCCAGGGAATTGTGCCATATCAAGGACTCAGTGATGGTCTCTGCTACCCAGTGGTGGCCCAGTTTGGTGGTGGTCAGCCTTGGTGAGTGGAAGTCCATGTTGCTGAGCCCAGGCATAACTTCCATCCCTGCTACTATG